>NW_012132919.1:0-179932 GCF_000001405.40 Homo sapiens | reverse complement strand
ATTGCCAGTAGACCAGCATTACAATGTTAAATAAATTCTTCAGACAGAAAGAAAATAAAGCCAGAGGAAATTCGTTTCTATAAAAAAGAATTAAGATGGGAGGCAGAGGTTGCAGTGAATAGAGATCGCACCACTGCACTCCAGGCTGGGTGACAGAGTAAGACCCTGTCTCAAAAAAAAAAAAAAAGGATTAAGAATTAAGAAATAGGCCAGGCATGCTGGCTCACACCTCTAATCCCAAAACTTTGGGAGGCCGAGGCAGACAGATCACCTGAGGTCAGGAGTTCGAGACCAGTCTGGTCAACATGGTGAAACCCTGTCTCTACAAAAACACACACACAAAAAATTAGCCAGGCATGATGGTGGGTGCCTATAATCCCAGCTACTCGAGAAATGGGAGGCTGAGGCGGGAGACTCACCTGAACCTGGGAGGCAGAGGTTGCAGTGAGACAAGATCGTGCCATTGCACTCTAGCCTGGGCAACAGAACGAGACTCCATCTCAAAACAAAACAAAAACAAACAAGAATTAAGAAATAGATAAATATAAAGCTGTTTTTTTTCTTAAAGACAGTTGATTTTCTAAACTACAAATAATAACAATGTATTATGGGATTTAAACATATGTAGAAATGAAATGAACAACAAAATATCAGAAAGGATGGTATGGTGAAATGATGGAAGAATACTGCTGTAGGCTTTTACACGATATACCAAAAGTGGTCCATCAATCAAAGATAAACTGTGATAACTTAAAAATGCCCATTGTAAACATAGATCAACCATTAAAAAGTAAAACAAAGAGCTTGTTAATCCAACAGTGAAAATAAATTGGAATAATAAGAAACTCAAGTAGCCAAAAGAGGACAGGAAAAATTGAACCAAAAATCAGAAGAGAGAAGCATAAAGAAACAAGTATTACTTTTACTGGCAAGAACCACAATTACTTTTGCACCAACCTAATAGCAAATGGTAGATTTCAATTAAATCATGCTGACAATTACATCAAATGTAACATTTAAAATAGGAGTCAGCACATATTTTCCATAAAGGGACATATAATAAATGCTTTTGGTTTTTCAAGCCATACGGTCTGTATTGCAACTACTTTGGAAGTACAAAAACAGCCTTGGACAATACCTAACAAATGCTCATGGATGTTTTCCAATAAATCTTTATTTACAAAAATAGGCACTAAGATAAATTAGGCTCAGGGGCCATAATTTGCTAATCTGTTCTCTAAATATTCTTTTTAAAAGATAGAGATTGTCTCACTGAAAGAAAAAAAAAGCAAGACCTAACTACATGTTATTTATAAGAAACATACTTTAAATGTAAACATATGAAGAGGTTAGAAGTAAAAGGATAGAAAAAGTTCTACCAGGCAAATATGAATCAAAAGAAAGCTGCAATGGTTTATTATCAAACAAATGGACTGAAGAACACAGAATATTAACAGAGACAAAGGAATACTACCAGGGACATTTCATAATGATGAAAAGGTCAATTCAATGATAAGACAAGAAAATCCTAAATGTATATGTGCTTACTGTGAGAGCTTCAATATTTACTAAGCAAAACGTGACAGATTTGAAAAGAGAACTAGACAAATCTCCAAATACAATGAGAGATTTCAATACTTCTTACACAGTAATTCACAGCAAAAGTAATTAAATAGAAGACTGGAACAAAATATCAACTAATTTGACCTAATTGACATACTTTACAACAGGTCATCCAAGTGCATCAGCATACATACACACCTTCAAGACCCTGGACGCATTCAACAAGACAGATCACACTTGTTAAATTTGAGCATTCTGGATGTGAGTGGTTTTTTGTTTTTGTTTTTGTTTCTTGAGATGGAGTTTCGCTCTTGTTGCCCAGGCTGGAGTCCAATGGCTCACCGCAACCTCCGCCTCCAGGGTTCAAGCGATTCTCCTGCCTCAGCCTCCCAAGTAGCTGGGATTACAGGCATGTACCACCACGCCTGGCAAATTTTGTATTTTTAGTAGAGATGGGGTTTCTCCATGTTGGTCAGGCTGGTCTCAAACTCCTGACCTCAGGTGATCCACCTGCCTCAGCCTCCCAAAGTGCTGGGATTACAGGCATGAGCCACTGCGCCTGGCTGCAAGTGGTTTTAAGTAATGCCATCTGTACTTTTCTGTACACTTGAAACAGTTCATGATTAAACTATGACAACAAACCAAATATGCCATTACTTTAAAATAAGTGCAAGCTTTGAAAATTAGTAGATCTGAGTTTCCAACTTGGCTTCCCAAATTCCCAGCCGAGTGACCCTGGACATTTCATCATATTTCCTTTAGCCTTGGTTTCATCATCTATAAAATGGTGTAAGAGTTACCACAATAGGTTTCTTGTGAAGATTAAAGGAGATACTGGACAGAAAGTTTTTGACATGGTGCCTGGCACCTATTAATCACCCAAAAGTGCTACTTATTATTATTTTATAAAATTGTCTTTGGGACAGGATAAGAGATTACATAAAAGGGCCGGGCATGGTGGCTCACGCCTGTAATCCCAGCTCTTTCGGAGGCCAAGGCAGGTGGATCACCTGAGGTCAGGAGTTCGAGACCAGCCTGGCCAACATGGTGAAACCCCATGTCTACAAAAAATACGAAAAATTAGCCGGGCACGGTGGCAAGTGCCTGTAATCCCAGCTACTCAGGAGGCTGAGTCAGGAGAATCGCTTGAACCCAGGAGGCAGAGGTTGCAGTGAGCTGAGATTGTGCCACTGTACTCCAGCCTGGTCAACAGAGTGAGACTCCATCTCAGAAAAGAAAAAAGGAAGTTACATAAAAGGAATAATGACACCATAAAGTTTACATTTCCCAAAAGAGCTGGGAAATTGGAGTAAGCCAGGAGCAGGAGGATAGCTTTATTTGGGACTGGAGCCATCCATGAGAAAGTTTTATGAAGAAAAGGATAGACCTTATGGAGAAGAGCGGGATTGAAGTGCCACAGCAGAGAGGAAAGTTTGCCAAAACATGCGGGACTGAAGAGAACATTTTGGAGCCCAGATTCAGCCATTTTACTCGGTGCATGTGTGCCTACCATGAAAGGAAGGAGTGGGGTCAGCTTAGAAGGGACATAGATGAAGCTGGAAACCATCATTCTGAGCAAACTATCGCAAGAACAGAAAATCAAACACTGCATGTTCTCAGTCATAGGTGGGAATTGAACAATGAGAACACTTGGACACAGGGTGGGGAACATCACACACCAGGGCCTGTCATGGGGTGGGGGGCTGGGGGAGGGATAGCATTAGGAGATATACCTAATGTAAATGACGAGTTAATGGGTGCAGCACACCAACATGTATACATATGTAACATGTATACATATGTAACAAACCTGCACGTTGTGCACATGTACCCTAGAACTTAAAGTATAATGATAATAATAATAATAATAATAATAATAAAAAGAAGTCCACTTGAGTAGAGAGAACTGACTGAGAAAGAAAGAAAGTTCTTGCCTTACCCACAAATATTCACCTCGTCACCTGAGCCACGTTTTCTCCATATAAAAAGTGAGGATAATATCTTCTACCCTGTCCACTTAATGCGGTGGTTTTGTGAAATAAAAGAGGTAAACAGTGTGAGAGTACTTTATAACTTTAAAACGGAATGGCAGTCCTTAGACCTATGCGGGGCCATCTGTCCCCATTGTGGGGCCTTTGTTTTCCCTGGATTTTACGCTACAGAGAGGGGAGACTGCTGAGTTCTCTACCAAAGCATCAATATGCTCTTTTGTTGACTTTGGTTGTATTTATTTGCAAGTACACATTGCTCTATAAAGATGCTGGCAGAAAACTCACACCACGCACATTCCCAAAATGTATCGCCCTTAGAAGAAAGTGCAGTTATCACCCAGCTCTGCCACTGGGAGAGCTGAAACCTACTGCTGCAGGGTCTCTCCCAAAGGCCAATAGCAAGCTCTCCCCAGGGCATCTATACCATTTGGCCCCCTTAACCCAAGGTCCATGGGAACACCAATCATCAGCATTAAAGGTGGTGGTTTCAAGGAAAAGTCCCTAAGGATGAACATACTATAAATAACACTTTATAAAACAAACAATGACATAAAGAACCATGAAAAACAAAACAAAACAACAATGCTATAAACCTCTCTGAGCCTCCTTGCACACTTCAAGATGCCTGTGGGTTGTACTAGCCTGTTCTCAGTTACACTGCAGCAGCGCTGAGTTCCAGAACATAAACAAGGAGGCACTGCATATTGTCTGTTGTTAGGTTCCTTGAATTACAAAGAGGTATTTGGCAAGACTTTTACTGGAATTGTGTTTGATTGTTTCTAGGGGATAACTGCAGCCTTTTGTCTAACAGACGTGCTGTCATCTATTTATAAGGTTGTTAATTTCATGCACCAGTGTTTTGTTCTTGGAATCAGTGACACCAACAAACTCGGGATGGCAGCTGGAAACTGGGCAATGATCTGGGAGCTCCCATTTCACCACATTTGGGATCTACACAATGGCCAAAGGCTGTCTGCAACAAATAACGTTACCTGGAAAAAATGTTTGCTCGGCATAGTTTACATCTAAAGTTCAATGTTAGACTGTTTCAAACAGTAATTGTCTTTTTTACCTTCCAAAACGGTTTTCCTTTATGAAGTGATGACTTGGCCATGTTTCTTGGTATGAAAATCAGGACTGGAAATTTAAGTGTACATGTGAAACGCAAGCAGTTTCATATATTAATACTGGCCTGTAACTTGGTCCTGATTTTGGTAAATAAACATTTCATTGTTTTAATAGAAGTCTGTACAGAAGACAATTACCAAATTTTCTCTTTTTTTTCTTAACTGTTTTCTATGTGTTGAATTGTGTCTCCTAGAAAAGACATGTTGGAGTCGTTATCCTCAGGACTTAGAAAGGGACTTTATTGGGAGGTGGAGCCTTTGCAGGGGTGATCAAGTTAAAATGAGGTCATTAAAAAAGATCCTTATCCAAATGACTGGTGTCGGTGTAAACAGGGAAAATGTGGACACAGAGACAGACATGCACACAAGGAGAGCACCATGTGAAGACGAAGGCAGAGGCTGGAGATGCATTGGTGCACCTGGGAACACCAAAGATTGCCAGAAAACCACCAGATGCAGGAAGGAGGCCTGGAGCCAGCACTCCCTCACAGCCTCAGCAGGAGCCCACCCTGCAGACACCTCGATCTCTGACTTCTGGCCTCCAGAACCGTGAGACAATACATTTTCATTGTTGAAGACGCCCAGTCTGTAGCACTTTGTTACGACAGCCCTAGCAAAGTAATATACTACTCAATTTTTTTTTTTTTATGGAGTCTCACTCTGTCTCCCGGGCTGGAGTGCAGTGGCACGATCTTGGCTCACTGCAACCTCTGCCTCCTGGATTCAAGCAATTCTCCTGCCTCAGCCTCCTGAGTAGCTGGGACTACAGGTGCCTGCCACCACGCCTGGCTAACTTTTTGTATTTTTTTCTTTTTTTAGTAGAGACGGGGTTTCACTGTGTTAGCCAGGATGGTCTCGATCTCCTGACCCTGTGATCTGCCTGCCTCGGCCTCCCAAAGTGCTGGGATTACAGGCATGAGCCACGGTGCCCAGCCATGCTACTCAAATTCTAACTCATTAGGCATTGAGCCAGGAGACACCAACCCACAATTGTGCTTCCATTCCCCTACTGGCCCCCACTGTCTCTCTCTGTCTCCCCTCTGTCTTCTCTCCTTCTCTGTCTCCCCACCCTCTCTCTCTCTGTCTTCTCTCCCTCTCTGTCTCTGTGTCTCTCTCTCACTGTACTCAAATCACACCAGCTTTCAGGGCCTGCAACAGGTCCAATTTTCCTGCCCTGAGGTTTTTTTGTAGTTCTTCCCTCTGCCTCAAAATACTAAGAAGTCCTTGACTTCTTCTTCTGGACTTCTAGAATTTAATGATACTGAGACAGTTTATTATATAACCACCTGGGTGACATCAGCCAATTATTAGCTAATAACTTGGAGAATACTTTATACTTTTCTACCTCATATTTTAAAATTTCCTAAAATAAAACAAATGGACCAATACAATAATTCCTTTCAGAAGTCAGAAGAAATGGATTTTATCTCAAATAGAGCAAGGCGCTATTATTATCCCAAAGGTGTTCAGATTCGCCTCATTTGTCAAGCTAAGATTCAGACTGGCATTTAAGGGCTCATTATTCTTATAAAGCAGCACATTCTTCAGTGTTGACGCCATTTCTTCAATGCTCCTCTCCTCTGGTAATTCCATTCCCATCTCCAGATACCCGAGTCCTCCCTCCTACTTAAACTACAAAGTACTCTGAGGCCTCCTGCTTTGAGGACCTGCTCCATGTCAACTTTTTTTTTTGGAAGTTTCTGCCACAAAATCCCATCTTTCTCTTGCTATCCATTGTCTTAACACCTTAATATACAGAGGACATAAAGACTTGTGGAAATCCTTTCACGTTTTCTCAAAATTGTGCTCTAATGTCTTTACAATGTCTGTACAATGTCTATACACTGCCCGTGTTCCCGCGTCAGCGGAATGTGAATTCCTGGCACTTGCGAGTCGTGCCTCTCCTTCTCCATCCCTCAGAGCCCCCAAATACACACTCATCCAGCAGCAGACAGTCACTGCATTTTGCAATGAAAGCATGAAGGAAAAAATAGGGCAGTTTTACTTCAATAGTTTTTGTAATTTGGGTCAAATGCCCTTTTCTTTTTCATGACTGAAATGAATACCTAATCCTGGAAAAAGTTAAGTACTGCACTGTTCTAAAAGTGAGATGAGGGTTTTATGTACAAAGAAAAATGCACCAAAGTGCAAATCCTACTGAATGTCAGAACCTGTGAGGCATAACCTTTCTTTTTTTGAGATGGCGTCTCGCTCTGTCACCCAGGCAGGAGTGTAGCGGCACATCTTGGCTCACTGTAACCTCTGCCTCCTGGGTTCAAGCGATTCTCCTGCCTCAGCCTCCTGAGTAGCTGGGATTATAGGTGCCTGCCACCATGCCTGGCTAATTTTTTTGTATTTTTAGTAGAAACAGGGTTTCACCATGTTGGCCAGGCTGGTCTCAAACTCCTGACCTTGTGATCTGCCCGCCTCAGCCTCCTAAAGTACTGGGATTACAGGCGTGAGCCACTGCACCCAGCCATGCTACTCAAATTCTAACTCATTAGGCATCCTGTTGAAGAACAGTGAGGCACAGCCTCCTTTGCAAATAAAGGCCATTCCTGCCTCCGCCTAGCTTACTTTTCCCTCTGCTGAATGAACCAAGAAGGCAAGGGCTTTTCTACTTGGCAAATGAATGGAATTGTTATTTCCCACCTCCTCGACAATGGTATGTGAAATGCCTCCTAATAGAGAGTTTTTAACTCAGCTCACAGTGGAGAAAGGAAACCTGGAGCCAGCATCAGTGTGAAGACTCACATTGATGCAAATCTTACCCAGTTTATAATCCTAGGATGGGCGGTCTTTCATCCATGGTCTAACTCACTGGCTTGAGAGATGGCAAAATGGAAGCCCAAGAGTTCATAACCTTCTCAAGGTCAGAGTAGAAGGCAGCAAGGCAGGAACACGGGCATGCATTTCCCTGGCGTTGAGTCCAGGACTCTTTCTCTAAAGCACAGTTGGGTTTGGGAGTCCCAGAAAGGAAGCATAAGGGGAAGAAAGGGTAAGGCTGAGTGCAGAAAAGGAGGAAGCTGGCAGGAGACAAGGGCAGGAAGATGGCAACGGAGAAGGGGAAGATGGAGAGGACGTGTCAGGCAGGAAAGGAAAGCAAAGCAGCCAGTGTGAGCACAGACACAGGCGTTCAACAGCCTTCATCCACATGAGCTTTAGTAACACCCCACATGGCAGGGCAATTTTAAAATCCATCACCATTGAATGAAAATCTTAACGTCAATGCCAAAAAAAAAATCAATGATACAATTGGGGTTTAAAAAACCCACAAAGGCCATCAGAATACAAATGCCCTTATACACACACCCTGGCCCCTGGCCTGGGTCTGGGAGCCAGGTCAGAACAATCCGCCCGGCATTGTGTCTCTGTTCATGCTGCCTCTCTAGAGACAGGGAAGTCCTGACATCCAGGCAGGATCTGGGTCTGGTCTAGGTCAGATCTAGAATTCTGTTTGAAAGCCACAGAAGCCATTCCATCCAAATGCATTAGTCCGAAACTTGTCCTTGATCGTTTACTGTAAGTTCAACGTTGTGGTAGGTGGTGTGTGCCAAGGGCGGAGGGAAAGCAAGATAAGGCATTGTGTTCCTTTAGGATACTTAAAGGTGGGAATCAGGTATGTATACTAAGAAGTTAAATAAAAACATAAGAGTGGATATGATTAGATGGCAAACAATCAGAGAGGCAAGGAACATCCTAGGAATTCAATAATCCAAATGGTATCTGGCTGTAGATAACCTGGGGTGAGAAGGACAATTATTGCTATCTAAGGGGAATTTAACTAATTTCCTTTTATTCATCATTGATTCATTGATTCATTCATTGTTTATTTAGCTTGCACAATGGGGCAAGAAACTGAGGATACAGTAATGAGTAAGACACATTCCCTACCTTCAAGGAGCTTGAGTCTAACAAGGAATATAGACCCCTAAACCCCTACACCCGTGAGCTGTCGGGCAGTTTTGGAAATAGCATTAATACGTGGGCAAAATAAGAATGGTTGACTTCTGGTGGTGTGTTTTTACAACATGAAAGTTTCCATCCATAATCCACTTAGCTGCCATTTCTAATAATGCAAGATTAGAAGATCCTCCATGAGGGGCATCTAGACCAGAGGACCCATAAGAATGACCGGACTGCTAGAGTGATCCTTTAAAGAACAACCAAAATCAATTGCCTTGGAAGGTCACACTTTCTACAACCACTCCCCAGGTGCCTGAATATATGGCACATTTTCTTTGAGAGCTCCTCATGGTTCTTCTGCCTATATGTAGGCCGTTCTCAGAGCACAGATTACTCACATCATAGAATTAGGATGTTATTAACTATTAAATTGCTCTCAAAAGCTTTATGGTGACAATCTATAATTGCAGTACAAGATCTAGCTGTGAAAATGCCATCCAGTTCACTAGCTTGATCATTTGTGAGTATGACTTGGGTCTCTGACTGAACAGCAGCAGGTTTACTCTCTTTCTGTTTGAGCTCCCCCGAGTGCCTAGAACAGAGCCATGCGTGTGGAAAGGGCTCAGGTTCTTGGAGACTGACACCTCAGGTGCAGCCAGGAGCTCCCCCTGCTCCAGAGCTGGCAGAAGGACTGGGGCTCCGGGGCTGCAGCCCGTTCTTCTGAGTACGTGATGCATTTTTTCATCCTATGTAGATACACATTGGTGGCAACCAGGTCAAAGAGAGGATTTTTTCTTTTAATGTGCATGTCCTAAGATTCTGAATAAAGAGCTTGCCAGAGTTGATAATCAATAGTCCAACATCCAAGTGAGGCCAATTCATAATTTGAACAGCACAGTGTAAGAGTGCAATCTAACTCTTAAGGTAAAATCCCATCTGTTTGGTTTTTCAAAGATTCGTAGAAAAGAAAGTAAGCTCTCTGTGATCCTAGGAAGGTAGCTTTCCTGCTCTCAGAATTATTAACCATGCAAAATGCACGATTATTCAGTCAAGATGTGTGCTGTTCTGCCTCCTCCTACCAAGGAAATCAGAATCTAGCTGGACCGGAGCTATTAATCCCCAGTTCTCACAGAGTGCGGTAAACTGCATTTATGCCTGATGTAAATACGGTCGTTGGTAGGGCAATGCTGATGAATGTGATGAACACCTGTTAGGTGCCCTCACAGGGCATCCTACCCTGCTGTGATGATATTACACAATTAACGTGGGGCCTGGGAAGCTGATGGCCTGTGTTCCTTCCCATCCCAGCTCCATTCCAGCCTCCTGCTTGTCCCATGACAGCTCCGGCCCGCAGCCTGGGTGACGCCTGCAAGGATTACCAGGTGTTTCTGCTGTTTCTTCAACAGCCTTCAGCCAGCCTGCCAAATGGGGTATTAGTTGTGTTCCCCCTCCTCTGTTGCTCAGTTTGCGAGGCTGTATTGAGGGTGGTTTGGTAACAGAGGAAGCAAGATCAGCTGGGGAAAAAGTGGCTGTGAGCCTGCCCCTGTGTGTAGTTTTCCCGGATGACATGTTCAAACATCACTCCGTTTGCTCATCCTGGACATCATGCACTGTAGCCACGCTGGCCTGCTCCCTGTCCCTCCACCCTGAGACCCCTCCTCGGATCACAGGACCTTGTCCTGCGTCTGCTGGGCCACTGCTTCCATGCCGTCCCTGCCGTCCCTGCCGTCCTCCCCCAGACACTCCCCTTTGCTCCCTGTCCTTTACCTTACGTCACTTTCCTGTGGAGCACGTGTCCTGCCTGACACATGATAAACACATCTATTTATGCACGGTCTTTCCAGCAGGATGTAAGATCCACGAGCGCAGGGGCTTCCCCGGCTCTGTCCACCACAGTATTCCCTGTGCCTGCGAGAGCGCCTGGTGCATGTTCAGGGCTGAGTAAGTCAGCACTGGATAAACGGATGCGTATTGGCAGGAGGGAATCAAAAGGCTGACATTTCATGTGTTCATGGCATTAGTTTGGTAATATGTTTTAAATGCATCTTCTTTCTTCTTCTTCTTCCATTTCCTTCTCTCCCTGAGTCAAGATAAGCAGTGTCTTAAGCCAGAAAGGACATGTGGACCAGTCAAGCCTTACTCTGGCCCACATCTGCTGGCTAGCTGGGGCACCGATGATGGCGCCGTTGATCCAGAGGTGGGATAACAGCAGATCCTGTCATCAGATCTCAAAGTCCATCTGTAGCTGGGACTGAGGGGCCACTGGAGCTGGGTGCCTGCGAAAGCAAAGGGAGCCTGGCCCCTGCCCATCCCCACTAGATTCCCGTCTTCCTACGCAGGTGGCACCACTGCAGTAGCCGCCCCTGTTCTACCATCTCACCAGGCCCTTGTCTGTACCAGCAGAGAGCACAGGCCCTGGAGGCAGGGCACCCATGTCCTCATCCTGCTCCCTTCAGACTCGCTCTGTGACCCTGAACACAGACGCACAGTCTAGCATTCCTTGAACCTCAAATTCTATTCGCAGGCTCATGCCTTTTGGAACCTGTCCATGGTGGGATGGCCTTTTCCCCTAAAGAAACCCAGCCAGGGCCTGCAGCTGGCGATGCATTTGGCAGCTGTGGTCTCCTCTGCTGGATCAGGGCCTGAGGCTGTTTATATTTAGACAGTGGAAATGCTGCTGAAACAGCATAGCTCTTAATCTTGATAGTTTCACTCCCAGCATGCAGCTGGGCGGGACCCATGGATCTGAGGAACTGCACGCCCCCTGTTCCTGTCTCCTTCCAGACTTTAATTATCTCACTCTCTACCCAAAGAAAAGCCACTGAGAAATAATGACAGTAAGTCCTCCTGGGATCATGATCATTATCACTACCATAATTATCCCTGGCATCAGCACCATAATTAGCAGGTTTTCATCATCGTCCTTGTTACTGCTGTTTTCTTCTTCATCATCCTCATCCTCCTCATGACCACCAGCACTGTCACAACTCTCATCCTCACCATCAGTTACTCATCATTAGGGCTAGACCCATGATTTGACTCCGTCTTAAATCTCTAGCAAGAGCTCATTTCCTGTACCAAAAGCCTGCAATTGAAGAACTCACCATGGGCATATGTTGTGGGTGAATTAAAGAATCAGAGGGGGAAACGTGTGGCTGTCCTTCCAGATTCTAGCCATTGGGCTCTCCTCCCTCTTCTCCAGTGGCCCTTGTGGCCTCGTCTTTGCACCACCGGTCTATAACCTCAATGCCAACAACAAATGCCAAGATGCTTAAAGGAAGGCACAACTCATCACAGGTTGATTTTGCTCCCTAGTCTAAGCTTGCTTCCCTCACTACTGTAACCCAGCACAGTGCCATGTCCACACTTCTTGGTTCACCACGCCCATCACTGTGGTCCAGTGGGTGACACTGACTGTGGCCATCTCATTCCTTGTCGAGGCCATCATTATGGGCTGAGATACAGTGGATCACTTACTCGCAGAATATATTTTTTGGTTTGAGTAAAAAATAGTATCGGCTGGGCGTGGTGGCTCATGCCTGTAATTTCAGCACTTTGGGAGGCCAAGGTGAGCGGATCACCTGAGGTCGGGAGTTCGAGACCAGCCTGACCAACATGGAGAAACCCCGTCTCTACTAAACATACAAAATTAGCCGGGTGTGGTGGCACATGCCTGTAATCCCAGCTACTCGAGAGGCTGAGGCAGGAGAATTGTTTGAACCTGGGAGGTGGAGGTTTCAGTGAGCCACGATTGAGCCATTGCACTCCAGCCTGGGCAACAAGAGTTAAACTCCATATCAAACAACAGCAACAAAAAAATAGTATCTACCTTATTAGTAAACAAAGGCATATTTTTTAGCTTAGCTCTTCTACTTCAAATGCAAACATAACACGGACCTACCCGCTGCTGAGAACGCATTAAATGTTACAATACTGAGAGGTTCTAAAAAGACACTAGAAATTATGTGTAAGGCTGTAGGAGATGTAAAAGCATAAAAAAATAAGTTTCAGAAGACCAGGTTGTAATTTTTGAATAATAAAAAATAGATTTCGATGTACAGGTTGGTTTTGCATCATCTCTACCCCAAGGTGCTTTCTTGGGATTGAAACGGCTAGAGATGCTCCCCTGGGCCATTCTGCCAAACAAGTGACCATCCCTGCTATCACTGCAGGGTCATCTGCCTTGCTTTGTACATCTTATTATAATAAACTAGTGGTACCCGAGAGCAAATCGGTTTGTGTTTTTCCCAACTGGGAAACAGGTGGGGATGTGGTTATTAAAGAAAATACGACCTTGCTTGGTCCTATCCTCTGCATCCCCTCTTCCCATCCACAGTCATAAAACCAAAAACCTCAGCTTATAAAGAAGACAAGAGGATTAGCTAGGATGAGGTTTATGTGAAGAATTAAAATCACATATTCATTCACTAATTTACTCAATCGATTACTTCCGTCATTACTTCAGATATCTAATGAGGTGAATGAAGGGTGACCATGCTGTTACGAAGTCCGGAGACAGAAAGGAGTCCAGAGGCATGATCTGAAACACTTGTTCGGCTGGGCCAAAGAAGGCTAAAGATGTGGATAGGAGAGCTGTCTGCAAATATCTGAAGGTCGTTAAATATTCAGCATTGCTTTAGAACTGTACTGCCCAATAGGGTAGCCACTAGCTACATATGGCCTATGTAATTTTAAGTTGATTACAATTAAAGAAAACTACAAATTGAGTTCCTTTGTCAGACCAGCCACATTCCCCATGCTCAAGAGCCACGTGTGGGTAATGCCACCATCTTGGCCAGTGCAACTGTAGACCATTTCCGTCACTGCAGAAAGCGCAGTGGACACTGCCGCATAAAAGGTGGAATGAGATTCAGCAGATGGGAAGTTTTAAAAAGCAGACTTAAATTAGCTGATGAAGAACTTTGCAAAAGCCAGAACTGCCCAGCCTGGGAAGAAAGTAAGTGGTCTACAAGGATGAATTCTGTGTCACCAGGACAAAGTCACGAGAGCAAGGAACACTTGCTCCTGAGATGGAGTGATAGATGGTGACTAGGTACATGTCAATATCCCTTCAATCCCTGAATTTTTTCAAACAAAATTCTCTGTTACTGTGAACCAAAGATTATGTTAAAATCAGCACATGAAAAAGCGTACATTCATGCTGAGAAAGGTTGAGGAGGGCAGCGTTAGGAGGCACCTGCTCAAATGGTATTGAATTAGTATGCCTCACAAGCATACTTGTGCAGGGTGTGATCAGGTTTCCAAATGATATTTCAAACAGGAACAGAAGCTGTAAGTACACCCACTCAACTACACCTCTCAATGAAATCACAAGATAAAAATTAAGCAAATGCAGCCAACAAACCTAGGAACAAATACTCAGGTGATGGCTCAGGGAAAGATGGGGGTAAATTAATTCACATGGGCACAGTTTTTAGCATCCAGATTCTGTTTTTTCACTGATCAATGGCCTTGAAAGAATAGTCTAAACTGTCACAGTTTAATAAGCCTCCTGCTCATTAATAGAGAAAATGTTTACCCACTAAGCTAGCAGGTAACTGCATATCAGAATTCACAGGACAATAAGAGTGATTACAAGCTTCAGACACATGGAGAAAGACCACAAGATTATTTTAAAATTACAATGAAATTTTGACTTAATTAATAAAACCTTTTTTTAGAAATAAATAAATTATTAATTCAGTGAGGCCCATAGGTATTTGGTTTCCAGGGAGAATCTACTTCTTTTATTTAGCTGAACATTTTTAAAACTTCCAGAGACTGAGGTAGACAGTTAAGTATAACCTGTTGGAGGAAGTCCTAGAATAAATCATAAGCTAACAAAAAAGGCAAGAAAAGTCTCAGTAACGAGGAATCCAGGATAAGAATTACTTGTCACTGTATGAGCCAGGAAAATAATGTAATTGGAGGCTCCTGGAGACCTCAAGTGTATATGATATTCTGAAGAAGACACAGTCGGCCAACATCACATTGTCACTCAGAGGAATCATGAGGGAATCCAGGAGAGCCAGTCTCCTTCCCATGATTATCAGTTCAGTATTCACGAGGGTCCATTGCTGCATCTCTGAGAACAGGCCATTTGAACCAGTGGAGGGTCCCTCCCTCCCTCCTCTGGGACACTCTGCGGGCACCCAGTGACCAGGGATAGGATGGGGAAGGCAGTATTTCTTGGGCCTGATGACAGCGTGTCTCTCTCCACCAGTGTTGAAGGAACAAGCCTGTGCTGGCAGCAGAGGCTGCAAGGCTCACTCGGTTGCTCTCTGGCCCGAAATCTGCCTGTAGCTGCTGTGCATTATCCCCGGGGTGAGCAGATGCGATGCCTCACACCTGCCACACTCGTATGACAATGGACAGTGCTGCCTGAGGGCTGCAGGTGCATGGCTGCGAAGCCTGGTGCCATTGGCAGTCCTGCCTCCTGGGACTCTCCTGCAATCCTCCAGCCAGGGTCTCCATGGAATATCTGAAACAGGTCCCCCTTGTACATGGCAAGCTGGCAATGCTGTGCTGTATCCATTGACTGCCGAGACATAGTCACGCAGGCAGTGAAGAGGAAGAGACATGGTGATGTAATGAAGAAAACAGCCCTGGTGACAAGCTGGGCTACAGGCTTGACTTACTGCTAATGAGTCACATGATTTTGAATGAGGCAATGTCAACTTCCTGGACTTCACTTTCTTCATCTGTAAAGTGGGAGATGGGCAGAATCATTTTAGAAAGCTCAATTCCATTTCTATGGTCCCAGGATGCTATTTTGGGGCATGGGAAGTTGGGGATCGAGAAACAAAAATCAATGGGCAATGTTCACATTGGGTCTTCAAGCAGAGGTACAATATTTTGCATGAAGCTGTGTCTTGCTCAGAACCATGCTTAGCTGCAGGCTGTGTGGGATGCACAGGAGGGAAGGACAGGTGGAAAGCGGCAGCATTGGTCCTGGCAAGAGGAGAGAAGAGTCCAGATCAAGGCAAAGGCAGTGGGAATGGTTGGGGGGAGGAATAAGGTTCTAAGTCTCCAGGCAGATCACCCAATTTAGCTCAAGTCAGGATGAGAGCAGCCACCCAAGGCATTGGTCAGACAAAAGGAGTGAGCTGATAGCCTTTGACCTCTGGTGAGAGTCCACCGAAGTGCAGCAGGACTGAGTGCAGAGCTGACATGCGTTCACTGACCCTGCAGGGATTAATAGCGAAGCTTTGATAAATACAACAAGAAGCACCTCTCTGCTTGTCAGACTCAAGATCCTCAACTCTCTTGCGCATCCTTTTGTGAAGGAAGAAAGCCTGTGACTTAGCAAGAATTGATGAAATCATTTCCCATTTTTCCCTTGCTTGTTTCTATGGAATTCATTTGTTCTTTCATTTATCCAACGAATATTTGCTGATCATTTATGACCTTCCAGGTGCAAAGAGAAGTAAGGAGCAGTTCCTGCTCATGAGGGGCTCACAGCTCCTTGATGAGGGACACAGCCCTGTAAGCAATGATTGTGTTTGATGCCTGGGGTATCTGGGGAGGTGCTCACTCAGACTGAAGTTAAATTTCTGGATGGAAGAGATCACCAGCTGGACAAGGTAGAGAAGGAGATCCAGGTGGAGGAAACAGCACGAGCAAAGCCACTCAGGACTCGTTTAGTGGCAAGTAAGGGAAAACCCGATGGGCAGACGCTTAGACAAATCAGGCTAATTTTTCTGGCTTAGCTAATCTAGAGAACAGGGATCGAGAGCAACACATGGATGGTGCCATCAGGGGCTGGGCTCCGTGTCCCACCGTGACAGCCTGGGCAGCACAGCTTCATGAAGGCAAGGACAGTGGGGAAGAGAAAGGCCAACTCTGTATTCCTCTTGCAAGAGAGCCAAAGACTCCCACAGGCCCTCCAGCAAATTTCTCCCTCATCTATGGGGCCAAAACCATAACCCGTGGCTCCTTAACCATGAGATTGGACAAGCGCGTTTAGTGGGCATAAGGGCAGGCGATGGGAGCTGAGGCCGGCAGGTAGGAAATGGCCATCCTGGGAAAGCTCCTCTGTCTCAAGGCAATAAGTTCAACAGAACAATTTTTTTTAAGGTCAAATAATCCTCCTGCCTCAGCCTCCTAAAGTGCTGAGATTATGGGCATGAATCACTGTGCCCGGTCTCAACAAGACACCTCACCTGGTCACGTGGCATCAGCCTCTACTCTGGAACCATTCAGCTCCCTCCAAGACGGTGGCAACGAGGGTCAACTCCAGACACTCAGCCCCACCTTGGCCTGCCTGCTTGCCCCTCCACTGCATATACTGTGCTCCAGGTGGACCATCTATCATCCCTCTCCTGCCCTCACTGTGCCATCCCACCTCAAGCCTGCACTTAGGGGGTTCTTTCATCTGGAGTGCCTTCCCCTGCCTTCCTCTCCTTTCTCCCATGCTCATGACTGACTTTTTCACTTTCAAGTCCCCAGTGCCCTGCCTCCAGCTTCCTGTAGGCTCCCGCCCCAAAGCCCCCTCCTTCAGAATTACAGTCGGCCCTGAGTATTGTGAGATCTGTATCCACAAATTCAACCACCAAGGATCAAAAAGATTCGGGAAGAAAGAAAAGGATGGGTGCATCTGTACTGAACATGTGCAGATTTTTTCTTGTCATTATTTCCTAAGCAATACAGTAGAACAACTTTTTACATAGCATTTACATTGTATTTGATTCTACAAGTAACCTAGAGATGATTTCAAGTACACGGAAGGATGTGTGTAGGTTATAGGGAAATACTACACTATTTTACCTAAGGCGCTTGAGCTTCTGTGGAGTTTGGTACCCACGGGGGTTCTGGTAACCACTCCCCAGGGGTGCTGAGGGACAACCGCAGTGCTCAGAGGCTTCAGGCCAGGACACTGCTCACTCAGCCTGTCTTTCTTGATCCTCGCAAGTCATTCTTCTCTGTCTCATCAGACTTTCTAAGGGTGGGCACTTTGATCCTGTACAGAGGGGATGCAGTAATGAAAGTCTGTTGGGTTTTTGACATTGAGGGTAAGAACTCAGTAAGCACATCTTCCATAGTCTATCCTAGTATTACATATTTCACCAAAACAGCAAAAACGTTTTTAGAGCAAAATTACCCTAAAGATGAAGACTATGCGGGCATTAAAATGCCTTAGAGGCCTAAAGTTTTCTCCACTTTGAAGCTAGTCTTTATATACTGCTTGATGCCATTTATATGACCTTCTAGAAAAGGCTAAACTACAAGACTGTAGACAGGTCTGTGGCTGCCAGGGACTAGGGGTGGAGGGAGGGCTTGCCCTGAAGGAAGCAGAGCAGGGGGAGTTTTTTGGGGTGATGGGGCTGTTCCATATCCCAATTTGTGGTGATGGTTACAAAAGTCTATCCAGGTCTTAAAGCTCATAGAATTGCACAACAAAAACTAGCTATACATATTTTTAAAAAGAAAAAGTTAAATTGTATATGTTATATAAAGATACGCTTTTAAATTGAAATCAGGAAGACATTTAAAATGAGAGGCCGATGAATAGCACAGGATCGTCCACTAGAGGCAGGCTTTGTGCATGCTTTCTGAGCTGAGTAATCGTAGCGACTGGCTGCAAAGCAGGTTTAAATATTTATAACAATAAAGCCCTCCTTAGTATGAAAGTCTCTGGGAAATATTTCAACAGAACAGACCTCTTACATGCACAGCTTAACAGAAGTGCATTTAAGAAGGTAAAATCCTGGAAGCTGCAGCTGCTCATTGCCAGGATGGGCGTCCCGAGCGACGTGGCAAACACTCCTTTCACATAAACACTCACAGCCTGGGAGCGGCCCTGAAACCGCATGGGGGTGGGGGACGGTCCATTTTGCAATGGGTCGGATATTTCTCGAGGCTCTATTGTGGATCAGCCATGTCCCAAGCCACCTTTAAGCATCTCAAAGTCCCTTGGAGTGCGGGGACTCATAGGCAGGAAATCGGAAAACCGTCAGCAGTGCTGTGGTCCCCGTGGGTGTGCACGGGTATGGGAGCCCACTCCTGTGGAGTCCAAGGCCTGCTGCTGAAGAGGCTGGAAGGGCGTGGGAGAACTGTGAGGTCAGTGGAGGAGGCAGGTGCTCCCAGCAGAGGGAACAGCGCCTGCAAAGGCCCAGAGGTGAGAGGGAAGGAGCAGGTGGGACAGCAAGGGGGTTAGGGAAGAGGTGCAGATTGGGAATGAGTTACCTGATTGGCACTGAGAAAGGTCACCCTGAAGGCAGCGTGGCCAGCACAGATTGAAGAAGTGTGGGGCGGGGAGGCTGAGGCAAAGAGGCCCTGGAGGCAGAGGTGGTTTTTTAGATAACAGGTAAGGTGGGCTGAACTGGGCAGTGGCAATGGGGAAGTGGAAGGGACATATCCCAAAGGCAGGGGGATGGCGATGCTGCCTGGGCCAGGGAGACAGAAGGTCTCTAGCCAGGGTCCTGGTAAGGAGGGGACAATGGTGTTTTTCCTAAAGTGCTGATGTTGCAGGCAGGACGTGGGGCCAACGTGGGATTAAACGGATGAGATCAGTTGCACACACTGTGTCTGAGGGCCCTCTACGTTCCCCGGAGACAGCAGCACACAGGTCTGACACCCGAGTCAGAGGTCCAGAACAGAGATGTGATGCGGGAGCCTTGTTGTTGAGGTTCATGTGTCTCAGCAGTGTGCGCACGAATCATATGCAGATCTCCTCCACGCGAGGCTTCTGACTGATCAGGGTGTGGGCTGGGTCCCGAGTCAGTGTTTCTAACAGGCTTCCTGGGGAGGCTTCTGCCACCACTCAGTGTATCGCGTTTTGGGTGGCAGCAGCCGATGCAGTAGTTGCCGTAGTAGGTTAAGTTGCCCAGGGTGAGTGCGCAAGAGAAGAGAAGATGACCTTGGGTGGGACTGGGAAATCCAATCAAGTCTGAGCACCTGAGGACCTCCTAAGTGGCCAGGAGGCAGCCAGAGGGCAGCCAGGGCCTGTGGAACCAAGGACTGAGGAAGAGGGAGGGGTGAGCGGCCTCAAATTCTGCCACAGGAGGCCTGAGGAGATTGGCACATAGACCGAATGTTTGTGTCCACCCAAAATTACACAAGAGGTGAGCCGTCACCAGAAACCGACCTGCTGGCACCTTGACCTTGTACTTCCAGCCTCCAGAACTCTGAGATACACACGTCTGTTGTTTAAGCTGCCCAGTCTGTGGTATTTTGCCATGGCAGCCCAGGCAGCCTAAAACAGGCACCAGTGAATTCCAGGGCGAGAAGACTGCTGGTAAGATGGGTGAGAGTTTTGCTGTGTGGTGGGGGCCAAGTACAGTTACCAGTGGGCTCAGGGGCAGCAGAGCCCCCATCAAGAGCAGGTGTTTGCAGAGAGGAATACCTGGAACCACAGCCCTCCATCCCTGGCACTGCAGAAACCTTGCAATCTCCCAAAGCCCGTCTCCTAATGGATAACATGGGGAAGACACTCATACCTTCCCCCGGGGGTATAACATGGGGAAGACACTCATACTGTTCCCCAGGGGCTGGGTGGCTGAGCCCTGAGCACTCATTCCACTCTGTGGGAGACACACGGAAGAGTGAGTGGGGAGGGGACAGAGAGGTGAGTGCAGCTGCTTCTTTCTTTAGTCATTTGACTGTGAAGGGAAGAACCAGAGGAGGACATGGGTATGGGTTGAGAGAGAGAGAACTTTTTTGTCTTTGCTTTATTTTGCGGTGGGAGAGATCTGAGCAACCTGAAATGCTTATGGTCCAGTGGCAGCTAAGATGAGAAGGTGAAGTGGCAGAAGCCAGGAAACCTTGACATCTGAAGCCCAGCTGAGAAGCTTAGGAAACAGGAGGAGGAGGAAGGGACCCTGTGGGAAGCAGGCGAGGTGAGGGGCTTCCTCCCTCCTCTGTCCACTCAGCTCGGCCATCTCAGCTTCCCGTTCTCTAGTTCCACTGTCCAAGGAGGAGAACCAAAGCAGCATTCTGTCCTCTTCTACAAACCCAATGGGTCAGATAAATGGAGCCCATCACAAGATTCTTGGAAACTAACTTATTTCTGTCCCTATATGTTCTTTGTTCACAGAAATGTTGTAAACAAATAATTATCCTCAGGACATGCCCGTGGCTAACCAGCACAATTCCTCATCTCCAGAAACACCCCTTCAGCTGACTTTCTGTTTCCAGGGTTTTGCCAGGATCACTACATCTGCACTCAATGAAACCTTTGATTACCAAAGCAAGCACTCAGACTGTTTCCACCAGGACGAGGAGTGCAGGTGGTGGCTGGTCCCTTTGGGAAGTAGCAGAATATGTCTTTAAATATGTATTTGCTCACAGTGAGCAGGGCACCGAGAGGGCAGCTGCCCTTGAGGAAAAGGAGGCTGTGGTAGGCACCCGGGTCTACTCCAGTTATGCCAAGGGTGGCCCAGGACAGGGGGCCTAAGGCTGCCTCTGGGTGACATGTGGGGATGCAGGGACAATAGTCAAAAATCCTGGTTTCTAGCAGCAGGAGAAGGCAGGTGGAAGGAGAATGGGGCCTTTTCGGTAACCCCGGGACATTCCGGGGATATGAGAGAGTCTGAAATGAGATGCTGCTGATGGCCGCGCACAATACACAAGCCAACCTTCCCACTCCAGGAGCGATTATTCTGCTGTCTCAGGCCAGAAGTCCCTGCACCTGCAGGGGACACTGTTGTTTTCTTTGCTGCATTAGACATGACTGCAGAGAAGATCTGCCTGTTTCAAAAGGGCCTGAAAGGCTCCAGAAGTTCTTTGTTGTCAACTCAAGTTGGATCTAATAAGCTCTCATCCCCCAGGTCAGATCATGTGGACAGGGTTGAGAATCACAGGGCACCCCAGCTCCCTGGGTCCTCCTTGCTTCTCCTCCTGTGAAACCCGTGTTCTCCTCCTTTCCCTGTTCTGAAGCTGCTGAGGTGCCAGGGCAGTCACAGTTGCATCAGGGTGTGTGGGAGGAAGTGGGGGAGGACCATGGCAGGCAGGGTTCCCTGGCCCTTCCAGGCTCTTTACTCTTCTGTCCCCTTCTTCCTGTCCCCTCTGTCTCCTTTTCCCCACACAAATCTCCTCTGCCAGTCCGTTCCATCTCTTCACGGCCCCTTCTCCCTCCACCTTCCCCAAGTGCACGATCAAACAACTAACCTCTGCCTTCTTAGCTCTTTCTCCTGCTACCCTCGCTTGTATCCGCGGCTCTTTGTCATGCTCTTTTCTGCAGAGTCCCTTATTCCTGCTCTGCAATTCAGCGGACACAGGTTTCCAGTTCCTTTGCTTCCCTAACCCCTGCCCTGGCCAACCTGGGCTCTTATATACTTAAAAAACTTCCAAGAAATGAATGCAGGGCAAGCAGAAAAAACAGTCTGGGAGCGGAGGGAACAGAGGCTGTTTCTAAATTTGGATCTGAGGTCACATTAGGAAGGTGGCCGCAATAGGCACTGGGAAGGCTTCTGTCAGCAGAAGGGACCCGTGTTAAATTTTTATGTTGACTTTTCTCTCCTTTTTGCTGCTCTTTCTTCTGCCTTCTTTTGATACCTGAGCACTTTCAGCTCCTCGCTGATGCTCGCTGCAGGTGTTTCCCATGGCGGCCTCTGTTCCTCTGCAGTGATCGCACCGGGAAGGTTCTCCCCATTCCTCTCTTCTTCACCCCGGATCCTCCTCTCCTTCCAGGCTTTCTTCTCCGTCGGCCTTCCCTGACTCAAGCCTCTTGTCCTCTCACGTCTTTGGACAACTACAGCTCACACACATTTTTGGGACCATGGGCCTCAGCTCGTGTTGAATGTCAGTTTCTGACCCTGACATCATCTACACCACATGAAGACTCACGGGGGCAGACTGACTCCCTTGGACCCCTCAGGCTCTAACGGCAGCGCTGGAGGGAGGAAAGCAGGCTGCAAGAAGCCATTATAGAGCAGGTGAGGGGCAGTCTCAGGCCACGTCTTTGTCTGTTGGAATTACTAACAAGTGAGCAACGTTCCATTCATCATTCACAAAGACGTGGATGTATCACAAGGAAGGGAGTTATGCCCGAGTGCACTGCCTCAAGACTTCTTAAGAGAGAAAAATTTGTCAATGGTCAAAGTTAAGGAGGTAGGGAGGAAATATACTAAGAGCAATGAATGTGTGTGTGTGTTAATGTGTGTGTGCATGTGTGTGTGTATAAGGGGGAGGGAGAGTATGTGTGTGTGTGTAAGGGGGAGGGAGAGTATGTGTGCATGTGTGTGTGTGTGTGTGTGTGTGTAAGGGGGAGAGAGAGGCAGATCGTCAGACATACCCACTTGATTTTGGAGTCTTACTGTTATTCACCGCTACATCCTATCCCCTCCGACGCGCGGGAAACTCAGCCTGCCCAGAAACCAAGGGTGCTGCTAATTTGGGAGATGTGGTGTCTGATTATGGGGCTCATTCCGGGCAAAGTGCTCTCTCTCTCTCTTCTGTGCTCTCTCTTTTAAAGATTTTGTTCCAGGGTGTGCACGGAGGTTAGCCTACTTTTGCCCCAAGTATCCCTAAGGTCACATGGATAACTTGCCCTCCTTACCGTGTCTCTGCCTGGCTCTTCTCCCATCAATGCACATGGGGGAGTTCCCACAGTTCAGAAACCATCCAGAGGGAATGACACGTAATTACCTGTGAGGACACAGGTACCTGCCAGTCCATCTCCCTGCTGCCCATCTGCCTCTGTTCCTCTCTGTCACTCCTGCACTTTGGGCCCCCCCATGGGGGGCAGAAGAGGACATGGCTGGCATTTGACTCATGACAACTCTAACCCTAACTCAAGGTGCAAGCTTGCCAATGGCAGGCCCTTACCTGGCTCTAAGAAAAACAATTAGTTCATTCAGGGCAGGGGGTGAGGTTAAAACTGATCATTGTAATATTTTGTAACTTAAAAAGTGGTTGATTTCACTAATTCTTATTTCTAATAAATCATTTAATCAGAGCTAGATACCTACCGAATCTCCTCATGAATTTTCGTACTTGCATATTTCTTCATTCCAAGAGTAAGAAAACATAAGATTTTTCTTTTTCTTTTCTTTTTTATTTTGAGACGGAGTTTTGCTCTTGTTGCCCAGGCGGTAGTGCAGTGGCACAATCTCAGCTCACTGCCACCTCTGCCTCCCGGGTTCAAGCGATTCTCCTGTCTCGGTCTCCTGAGTAGCTGTGATTATAGGCGCCCACCACCATGCCTGGCTAATTTTTGTATTTTTAGTAGAGATGGGGTTTCGCCATGTTGGCCAGGCTGGTCTCGAACTCCTGACCTCAGGTGATCTGCCCACCTTGGCCTCCCAAAGTGCTGGGATTACAGGCATGAGCCACTGCACCTGGCAGATTTTTCTTCTTTGTATAATTGGTTATCTCTGGCAGCCAGAAAGAATTCAGAGCCTCTTGAAGCTCTGCACGTGTTGCTCAGGTGGAGAGCTAGATTATGGAGTGATGCCTAGCCACTGTTACGCTCCTTCTACTTAAAAGAATGGCTATTTTTCCAGTTTATGATTTCTGAATTATACAGCAGATTGCAGTGCCATTGGAAGAATAACCCTGCATGTTCCTCCTCCCCTTCATCTCCCACTTTTAGTGAGAAAGTACTTACTACTTACTCCCTTTGTGCACACATATGCACACCTACCCTCACGGACAGGCACACACACTCAAGAGAAATCATACAAACCCAGACACTCTGGTGTCTGTTAAATTGGCACCACCGTCCACTAGAGGCAAGTCACTGAGAGACCCAAGGCGGCACCCAATTTGGGAACTGTTCAAGCAACTCACCACTTGCACTCATTAATTTCTACAGATTCCAAAACTGTGGTTATGGACTTGGCCCAAAGCACAGTCACAGCTGATGCCTCACCAAAGCCTGCCAAGCCCGAATAGCCCCTGCTTACTCTTGCACGCAGCCTGCCAGGACGGTACCCAAGGTTCTCTCAATGCTCAAACTTCCATCTATCATAAACTCTCAAGACTAAAGCAACCTGATACAGTGGGAAAAAGAACATTAGAAAATGAAAACCTATTGTTTGTGAAAACTACAAAATTCCCAGGCACTTGCTATGCTGTGCATGGAGAGCGTCGCCAGGCTCGGCAATGATGAGTTGCCTTACTGTGAAAAACACCAAGAGAGAAGCGGGAACACCATAAACTTTTGACAATGACATTCTGGAAAGTCTATTTGGCATCATAAAAACAATAATTTTAGTTGAGCAGAAGACAAGCAAAAGCATGTCCTAACCTGTTTCAAGAAATGGTTTTCTAATTTTAACCCTGTGCTAAAAGGGCAATGCGTGTGATATTACTGGTAATGCTATGGCTGGCATCTTAAGTTAACATGTTGTGAAATTATCTTCTCCACAGCAGTTGGAGCCCTAAATCACAAATGGAATTGGTCGTAACACACAACAATGATTAATCTGTACAGTTTGTCGTAGTTTAAAAATGCTGTAACCATCAAGTAGAGATAATGATCCACACTAAAACTCTCTATGCCTTAATTGTTGTTCAGAAGGCCTGAGTAACTGGGTCTATATTAATTGCTTTTGAGTCTCTGAAAGTAATTGCCACTAATGAGCTACGATAATGGCCAGCTACGTCGGAATTGAAGAACCAGTCCTTCCAGAAGTACTTGAGTCATTCTCCCCTCACTACATTACAATGATGGCCATTCCTAATGAAAGCAATCGAGTGTTCTCTATCTCACATCTCACTCAGCAAACCCACTCTCTCTTCATTTACATTTCTTCACTTCTTTTCTTACCAATTACAGGCATGTCACTGGTTCATGGAGAAGAGTCAGATCCCCTTGGCAAGCTGGTGGGTGGTCTTCAGAACTTATTATTACTACATTATCACTGCAGGAGGCCAAGCAACAGTGCTCTTCACAGACACCCCACACGGCTTTGGAGGACCTAATCCTTGACCTGCCCCTGGCTGTCTAAACTTCCACGGTGTTCCCTGAAACATCTGCCCTTTGATCAGCCAGCTGCTCCTGCACCAGCAGTCTCTCCTGGAGTTTGTCCCCTTCCAGCTCCCACCTGCACAGGCCTGGCTCTCAGGGGTCTCGGCTTCCTCTCTTCCATGCAGGCTCTTTCTAATCCCACCCTCCCATGTTCTAAACGCTGCAAGATGGACAGGGGGGTCCTTCCCCACGACCCTCCCCGAATCTTTCCTCCTCCTCCTCCTGTGAGTCCCTGGGATCTCTGAGGCTCTCTGTCCCCCTCCTAAAGCACCACTGAGTGTCTTCCAGGTCATCCTCCCCCAAACTACGCCTTGTTCAAACCTGTCAGCCCTTGACCCGTCCTTCATATTTTCACTTCTCCTATGAATCCCATCATCACAGGAACCTAGCTGCACTTACCTTCTGATATCCCCACTCTACCCTTCCACTGCCTTTGCACAACCACCACCTTGGACTTCTGACCCAACTCAACACTGCTAATCCATCAACACCACCATTTTCTACCTCTGGCTCCTCTTGGCTTCACTCTTCCCAGACCCGGTGTTTCTGAGGCCTGTGGCAATCACCACTCCTCTGAAAATACCTGATCTCTCTTACTTGCCAAATTCCTAGCCCCAGGGGACACCTACCAGGGTCTCCGTGCAGGTCGTGGGTGCTGAATACTCAGGGGAGATAGTGAGCAGCCTCCTCCCCCAAGAGCCTGGTATTTCCCGCGCATCCATCCACAGGGGCTGTGCCCGGCCTGCTGAGACCGCTCTTGCATTCTGTCTCCAGATCACACTCCCTCAAACTGGCCCACTCCTCCACCATCACTCTCAACAAGTGACCGTATCTCAAAATTTGGGGGGAATAATAAAATAATGCATTGAAAGGAACTCAGTGATTCTTTCACTAGGCCTAGAAACAAAGCTACCTACATTTTCAGCTATTTCCTCCCTTTCTACTACAAAAGGCATGTGTGTTTCCCTATAGGTCTGAATGTTCTAGGGGGAGAAGGCACCATGAGTTCAAAGGCCCTGAATTTGGAAGGGACTCAGGAGCACTGAGTTACACAGAAAGGTCATCGTGGTTGGGCAGAGTGTGGAGTGTGGAGTGTGGGGTCAGGTCTCGTGGCCTCGGGCCTCTGCAGGGAGTGAGCGTCCATCACTATTATGCAGCGGTGGACGCAGACGGAGATGCGCCCTGATTTACCCGTCAAAAGATCACTGTGGCCACGCTGTGCAGACCAGCGGGATGGGGGCACGGGGAAGTAGAGAGACCAATTAGAAGGTGACTCACAGCGGTGTCCCTGTGTGGGGTGATGGTAGGGGAGGTGTTTTCTGTGCTCCTCAAATCATGGACACAAACTGCCACTTATGACAACCCCTCCACTGCGGGCCGGCCTGGAATGCATGGTCTCATTAGGACTTCCCCCTGTCTGGGGATGTGTGCAAAAGCCTCTTTTTGTAGCCCTGCATGAGACAAATAAATATTTCACATGCTCTGCAAAAGCTATACACGAAAGAATCGATCCTGAAACCTCAAAACCTGTAGATCCGCTGGAATGCTGCAGGTAAGTAAAATCCTCCAATTCCCCCACTAGCCAGAACAACACACACACACACTACACACACAAACACACAGATACACACACCACACATACATACACACACCACACATACATACACACCACACACACATACACATACCACATACACACAACACACCACATACACAAACACCACATACACACACCACACACACCACACACATACACACACACCACACAAAACACACCACACACACACCACACACACACCACACACACATACACACACCACACACATACACCCGCTCACACATACACAAATACACCAAACACATACACACACCACACAACACATATACACACACCACACACACACAACACACAAACACACACACCACACACATCACACACGTACACCCACACACCACACAAACACATCACACACACACACAACACACACCACACACACACACATATGCACCACACACATATACACACACAACACACATACACACACCACACACGTACACCCCACACACACATACACACACACCACACACATATACATATACCACACACACCACACACATACACAACACTACACCACACACACCACACACACACACCACACACATACACCCCAAACTCACATACACTCCCACACACATACACACACACCACACACTTATACACATACCACACACACACCACACCATACACACCACACATATACACCACACCACACATACACACACCACATACACATACACACACCACACACATATACACGTACCACACACACACCACACACATACACACACACCACACATATACACACCACACATACACACACCACACACATACACACACCACATACACACACATACACAACACACACATATACACATACCACACACAAACCACACACACATACACACACAGCACACCACACACATACACACACATACGCCACACACACAGACCCCACACACATACACACACACCACACATACACACTACACCACACACACGCCACACACACAGACCCCACACACATACACACACACACACGCACAGCATTACCTTAACAAAGTTTGCATTTTGTTGAGAAAAGAACCATTGTTTGGGCTACATTTTTTCTATGCCTAAGCTTGTGCTTTTACATTTAGCTCCAAAACCTGAGTAAAAATAAAAATAAAAAACAAACAAGAAAATAATTGTTAGTTTTGAGCCAGTTCTGTGTCAAAACAATACAACAAAACACCCTAAAAATCTATAATTTCAAAAACAGATGGAAACCAACAGCAGCCAGTGGCCTTCCACAACAGAAACAATCTCTTTCCTCTGAGGCTGCTGGTCAGATTCACAACAGGAGGCAGCAGTCTACAAGGGACAGGAGCCCACATCAGCATTATCTTACACTGCTTACACAGGCTTAGCCTTTAAACAGTTTCCCAAGAACGTGGATATATGATTTGATTTTCACAGTATTATGAAACTGCACGCATTGTGCTAAGAGCTATGTGAAAACACACATTTCAAAAATCAGTGATGACCATTTTTGATAATCTCATGTAGTAAGAGTCACAGAGAAGTTGGCCTTATATCGGCTAAGAGTAACATGTCAGGCAAGATGCTGACAAAACAATCTGGACCATTATTTATAAATTCGGTCGCAAAGGAAAGATGGTTGGGATTGAGACACGGGAATTCATCCCGGGATAAAAGGGCTTGGAGTGATGCTGATGGGTGCAGGATGCACTTCCAGGCAGTGAAGGGGCAGCTTCTGGTCTCAGTGGGTGGTGGACAGGCTGTTCATCCACTGCCTTCTCAGAAGGAGAACGTGCTGAAGGTGAGACTCGCCTCCTGCTGCTGCAGCAGCTACTGGGCTGATGCAGAAAGGGCGGCAGGTGTGGTAGAAATGGCACACGCAGGCCCTGCTCTTCAGTTTGCCCTCTGAGGCCACTGCAGAGGGAGACAGAGAGCTCCCTGCAATTCTGATAGCAGCCCCCACACATGAGAATGTGCAAGGCCTTCGTCCAGCAGAAAACGCTTGGATCAACTGGTTCCCAGAGGTGGGCCCAGGAAAGGCTCTGTAGACAGTGCAGAAAGAACCAGTCCAAGAGCACGAGAATCAAGAAACACAATTCCCTTAGCCACTCCTGGACGAAGATTTCATCCCTTCTTGTAATGAAGAAGGGATGGCAGTAAACATCAGAACCATATTATAACAATAGCTATATTTCTTGCAACAAAGAAACTCATATACTCAGAATTGGCCAGGTGTGGTGGCTCACCCCTGTAACCCCAGCATTTTGGGAGGCCGAGGCGGGTGGATCAAATGAGGTAAGGAGTTTGAGACCAGCCTAACCAACATGGTGAAACCCTGTCTATACCAAAAATACAAAAATTAGCCAGGTGTGGTGGTGCGTGCCCATAATCCCAGCTACTTGGGAGGCTGAGGGAGGCGAATCACTTGAACCTGGGAGGTGGAGGTTGCAGTGAGCTGAGATCGTGCCACTGCACTCCAGCCTAGGTGACAGAGTGAGACTCTGTCTCAAAAAAAAAAAAAATTAGCCATGTGTGGTGGCGGGTGCCTGTAATGCTAGCTACTCAGAAGGCTGAGGTAGGAGAATCTCTTGAACCTGGGATGGGGAGGTTGCAGTGAGTCGAGATCACGCCACTGCACTCCAGCCTGGGCAACAGAGTGAGACACCACCAAAAAAAAAAAAAAAAAAAAAAAAAAGAAAAGAAAAAAAAAGAAACTCATATACTCAGAATTACCTGAATTGATTTCCAGCAGTTATAATTTAGTCCACAATATGGGTTCAATAATTTATAGCCCAATCCCTTATATTACATTTATAAAGCCTCAAGTTATTTTTTAAAATTAATTAAGATATAGATAAATAGGTAACTCGACCAGATGGGTGCATAGAAGATTCTGGGATATAGTTGGGGTTCACCTCACCAAGCAGGTTTGATCAGGATTATCCACATCAGGGTGTTCTTCAAGCTTTATATGAATTATAAATTTCACAGTCCCTTAGAGAGCAAAATGGGCTCTATCAACTCACCACGATGGCAGGAAAATAGTAGAAATTTATCAAATATGAAAACTGCTTCCAATTCCTGCCATGAAAAGCTCAGCAGCAAACCATCTTCTCTCAGGACTGAGCAGAACCCATCTCTAAGGATGGCATTTGGGCCCTGTCAACACCCATGCCCTGAGCTTGGAAGCAGACTCCTCCCCAGGTGAGCTCTCAGATGCAACTGCAGCCCGGATGTCACCTTGACCACAGTCTTCTTTATAGAAGACCCTGAGTGCAAGGATCCTGCTAACTTGAGCCCAGATTTCCGACCAGCAGAAACTGGGATGATACATGTTGTTTGTCTTAAGCTGCTATGTTTGGGGATAATTTGCTATGCAGTGGCAAGTAACTAAAACGGATTGGTTTATGTGTTTCAGTTATATGAACAGTTTATAAACAGATCAGTGTATCAACCCATTTTACTGACTGAATGACTGTGTGATTGGGATTTTAGGAAAAAAATCTTAAAATCTGACCAGATTTTGGACAGAATTTCATTTGGACCAGAATGATGTTCCACTGGCAATGATCTGACTAAGAACAATCATTTCAACTAACTCCTTTAAATATTGCAATGAAATTCCTCACAAATCTTCAGTGACTCTTTCAGAAATGATTCTTCAAGGAAGAATATTTTTCTCTTAGGTCTTTGAAATTAATATTTTTAAATGATCTAAGATATTAATACTAGGCTACTTTTTAGGCTCTCAATAATACATAGGGTTGGCATAGTTAAGATGAGCTAATTTGTGTATGTTCAAGGATGCTAGCCAAGCTATACATTTAGTAATATTAAAATAGTTTAGTAGGAAAAAGTATTAATATTTTTAAATGATCTTAGATAATGCATTTTACATTCTTTTTCCCTCTCCCCAAAGAGATTTGGAAATGTTTCATATTTGTCAAATATATCTCAATATAAAAAAGCATGGCTGCTCTAATTAGATACATTTGTTTTAAGGCAATTTTTCTTTATTAGTATAGTTAATACAGTTTTCAAATTAAAAATAAAAAATTGCTATTTCTCCAATGTCTAACTTAATTTCAAGAGAATATTCAGGAAGTGTACACTGAGAAATGTTATGAAATTTTATGTATAAAATAAAATAAAACTCATTTAGCACATGTTGTCTCTTTGGAGCAGGAATGATCTTTTGAGATAAAATAAGGTGGTGTAAATAAGCACACATTGCAAACTATAATGCTGGTGCCACATAAATACAAACACAATACTGTTTATTATTTTCAACATTCCAGATGCACTACTTATAACCTATAGGTGTCTGAGGCTTGAAAAAGTGGAAAATTGGGTTTGCTGTTTCTCAAATTTACTTGATAATTGATATTTCAAACACCTTTTTAAAGGCTACTTTTAAAGCTCTCAAAAAAACATAGGGTTGGCATAGTTAAGATGAGCTAACTTGTGTATGTTCAAGGATGCTAGCCAAGCTATACATTTAGTAATATTAGAAGAGTTTAGTAGGAAAAAGCATGCTAATTAGCATGATCCCACATTTCTAGAATAAACATGGAACGTTATTAGGATATTTCACAACTGAGGTATTTTCCTTTTATTACATATTTTGTGGATTTGATAGAATTTCAAGAACTTGGATTGTATCTTGGTATAGCGCTAAGGGGTTCGGAGAGAATATACACACACCACAAATATATTTGCTCAGTACTAAATGTACGCAGATCACCCTGTGCTGGGTCCTCTGAGGTGGGGACAGATAGGAGATAAAAAGACCTGTCCCTGTCTTTGAGTATCTGACAATATAAAAATGGACAAATTAAATTAGTCTATGCCAAACAACTGGGAAATGATATAACATTGCAATTAGTCTGAATAAATGAGAAGAAGAGATACCCAATGCATATTCTAAAAATTAAACTTAAACATCTTTCCTTCAACTCTTATTCTCAGGATGTTGCTGTACTATTTGTGTCTAAACTCCTTAATGATCTGTTTCCTCATTTCTCTTACCACCCATGCTGTGCTGGAAAGCTCTTACTCACTTCTACTTGAGCCACTGCCAAGACAGCTGATTTCATGTAGGCATCCATCAACTCCATTCCAATGAAATTGGATAGAGCCTTAAATCTGGCCCTGGGTATACATACGGAACTACTCTGTGCTCAAACACATATACCCTGGAAGTGTAGGAGAGCTGACATTCATTGGGTCGCCCTTCACCACTGAGAAACAGAAGCCCAGGGTCACCCAGGAAGATGGCTCCAAGATGCAGTGCATAAGGTTTAGTGGGTTACTCAAGCAAACATAGCTGGTGAGCATCGGAATGAGCCCTTGAACCTATGATTATTTGACTTCCAAGTCCAGTATCTTTGGGCAGGCAACAAAGAGAAGCAGAGATTGAAGAGATTATAATTATCCTGACGAAATGTGGGATAGTAGGATTTTTTTTTTTTTTTAGTGCAGTGGTAACCCAATATACCAAAATTTTATTGCAAATGAAACATATACTGAAATAAATGACAGATATCTAGTAATTGGACAGTTGGTTTACACTAAAACAATTTTATGATAGTCTTTTTAATGAAAAGTTGAGTTGGTTCATATAAACAAGTTACACTAGCTGCCTTTGAGATACACACATAAGAATATGTTGAGCATGAATCCAAATAACAAATTCTAGTTTCATTATAATTAGATTGGAATCACATGTTGTAATACCCACTTGGGAAGTACTATGTAACCAACATGAGAATATCAGGAACTTCAAGAAACTTATCTGTTTAACTAGAGTTCTCAAATGTATTTGAATATGGAACCTTTAATTGTTTTTAAAGAATACCAATGGATAATATTTTTAATTGATTATACTATTAATACAATACTAGCAATAACAATTACTGATACTAAATACTGATTAGGAAGTCCTGGTCTATTCCACTTATTCCAGAATCACAGACCTAGACTCTTCCTTTGAAATTTACCCCTCCCTTTTCTAAAATTACTTACATTTTAGTTTATCTAGTTAGGAAGATCTTCCTAATATCTAACTCCAAATTCTCATGCAGAATCCCATATGTAATCCTTTTATTACATATTTTGTGGATTTGATAGAATTTCAAGAACTTGGATTGTATCTTGGTATAGCGCTAAGGAGTTCAGAGAGAAGACACACTACTCATAACCTATAGGTTATAATTTCCCTTATAATTTTTCCTCCAGAAGAACAGAGAATACTTGCTTGAATAGTCATGTATACAGTAACTGCTCAGTGCTGAAAACTATTAAGGATTACTTATTTTATTCAACTTAAAATATCTGTTTCTATAGACTTTTTACATTTTCAATTTTATCATTTTTATAGTTCTGTAAATACACTTCAAACTTCCTAGGTTTTCCTTCAGTTGAGAAGACAAACTGAAGAGTCTTACTCCAAACACCGACAGATGCTGCCCAGTGAGAAAGGGTTATTTCAAGGTTCCTGTTTACAGCCAGTGCTCCACATGGTGAAGACTCATCTTTAGCAAAATGATCTTTATCAAAATGGTTTCTGGTTCAATGGGATCCCAGGGCACTCTTCCAAACAGAGCGCTGGGAAGCCGAAGAAAGTGGTGGAGAATTGTATCATGCACAGAACCACAGCACCACTGACTAGAGCACGCCTCTTCCGATCACACGGCTGCGGGAACCCCTCTGTCACATTCCGGAGAACAATACCTCACTTTGTTTTGAGGCTTCTGGGAACGGAATGCTCATTACCTCCATCCCACTGTCGGGGTGCTCCGATGATTAAAGATTCTCTAGGAGGATAACCTGAAATCAATTTGTCTTTCTAGGCTTTTCTCACTCAGGTGTTAGCTGTGCCTCCTGGGGCAAACCAGAACACATCCATGTAAGGCTTTCAAATATCTGCTAACATTTTTCTTTTATACAGGTGTGGAGATTGTATTTCTGGTGGTTTTCAAGGGTGATGAAGGAAGCTGAAATGGTCTATGACCCGTGAACATCACATCCAGGTGCCTGAGGCTGAAAGAGGCAAGTTTAAGGCTGTGTCTAGGTAATGCAGAGTCCCAAGCCTTTTAGAATGTCAAGTTCACCAACTGATCCCAATCAAAGAGACAAAGATGCCCCATTGTTTCAAAGAATTTGGATGGAAAAAATGAAAACCTTTATAGAATGGACATTTAAAAATAGAAAAATGGAAGACTGAAACAGAGTCCAAAAAAATCTACAGTTGGAAGAATAAAGTTGAAATCTCCAGTAATCCAGTTGTCCAATCAACTTCTAAAAGAAAGTTTAAGAATTCAGAATTGAACTTGCATCTTCATACAAACCAATACCCCAGCTTTCCCAGTGGATATAAACCAAAAAGCTTGACTGTCTCATGCCAGAAAAGATTCTCTCAAACTCACCACAGAGCCATTCTGACCTGAATTAAAATGCAGGAGTCATTACACCTCACAGAAGCACCAGGAAACTCTATTTCAAATGGTCTCAGAAATGCCAGGGAGGCAGTAGTAGACTCTATATCTTATTTGCCAGAGAGGAAAGTTCTTAAAACATACATTTCTAAAGTTGCTTATCTCTTGTAAACTGAACATCCTCTCCACTTATACAAATAAACTTCACCTTCCAACTATTTAAAATTAAAGAGCCAAAATGAAATTTGAAATACGAGCATGTCAAATGAAAAAACAAGAAGAAGAAGGAAGATCCTGGCCTAGGAAGTTTTACACTGCTACTAATACACAGTGAGATTTTACAGAAAATTCTGGTGAAATTTTATGGGAGGCTCATATATACAGGAAGTGCTAAAAATAGGCATTTAAATAGTGGAAGTGATAGCTTCAGCTCTTCACTAGAACACTACAATGACCAGGAGATAATTAACATATTATTTCAGTTTAAGGAGAACCTGGCAGTTGCTTTTTGTTCTTAGGATAAAATCTATTATTTCACTGAGAAAACAGCCAGAAAAATAATTGCACAAAAGGGCAAGATTTGTGTCTATGAAGAGACAAGTTCTTACCATCCTCCTAAGAAAAGTCTATGAAAGAGCCTCTAAAGTATGTGACTTTTTTCCCCTGCCAAGCAGATATTTATACCTTTCCTCTCTCCTAGGTGGCAGTATGATATGCAAAAGAGACTTCCAGGATGTACAAAGTATTTCTGGATTCAAAGATCACTAAGTATAGAAGAGTCAAGGAAATATACTTAATGAGATATTAGAATAAAGAAACAATTATTTTGTAGGCAGTAAAGGATAATACTCACGGGTTCCACATTGTATGAAAAAAGTGCATACTCTCTATCTGGAGATATTTCATATCTGATGGCTCTTAATGATTCCTAAAAGAAAAAATAGACAAAGAATTTTAAAGCATTACATACAACAAGTCAGAATCTTATAATAAAATTGTATCTGCTGGTGCCATTTTCAAAATTAATTAGCTATTAAAATGGCTATATCCTTTCTTTGTTAGCTGAATAATATTTAGCTAATTGATGTTTTTTCATATTTTATTTGTATTTTTTTTCAAATTTCAACAAAACATACTTATTGGACTTACTGAGACAAGCCAATATAAATAAGCATTAAAGGCTGGGTGCACTGGCTCACACCTGTAATCCCAGCACTTTGGGAGGCCGAGGTGGGTGGATCACCTGAGGTCAGGAGTTCAAGACCAGCCTGGCCAACATGGTGAAACCCCATCCCTACTAAAAAAGAAAAAAAATACAAAATTAGCTAGGTGTGGTAGTGCATGCCTGTAGACCCAGATACTTGGGAGGCTGAGGCATGAAAATCACTTGAACCTGGGAGGCAGAGGTTGCAGTTAGCCAAGATTGGGCCATTGCACTCCAGCCTGGGCAACAAGAGTGAAATTCCATCTCAGAAAAAAAAATAGAGAGAGCAAGAAAAGAAAAAGAAATAAGCGTTAAAAAGCAAACTTTTCTACAAAACTCTCAACCTCTTGATATGTTTAGAAACCTTTTTCTCACTAATTCTAAGACACATATAATAAGCAGAGTTGTTACTAGAATAGAATCACATTGCACACATTATTTTGCAACTTGCTCTTTTTCCAACATGGTCATCCCTACAAGTCAGTACATAGAAGACTAACTGTGACTTTTTCCTTCAAATTTCTTCATAGTACAAACATCATCCGACATAAATGATACCATCAACTGTGCTGTTTTCTTTTAATTGCCCCTGCCCTCTGCACTGCAAGCACATTGCTCCACAGATACCCACACCCACCCCCAGAGCCCACATTGCTGACTTGGTGGACATCACTCTATGCATGCTCAGGCAACCACATGAAATCAGAGAGAGATGACAAAGGTTAGAAATGACATCACATTGGCTGGGCGCAGTGGCTCACGCCTGTAATCCCAGCACTTTGGGAGGCCGAGGCGGGTGGATCACCTGAGGTCAGGAGTTCGAGACCAGCCTGACCAATATGGAGAAACTCCGTCTCCACTAAAATTACAAAATTAGCTGGGTATGGTGGTGCATGCCTGTAATCCCAGCTACTTAGGAGGCTGAGGCAGGAGAATCACTTGAACCTGGACGGCAGAGGTTGTGGCGGACCGAGATCGCGCCATTGCACTCCAGCCTGGGCGACAAGAGCGACACTCCATCTCCAAAAGAAAAAAAAAGTGACATCATATTATGGTCCTCTGCACCTTAGTTTTCTCATGCAACAGTACCTTAAGGAAATGACTCCAAGGACTTGGGTTCCTTTGATTGAGTAGTGATCTTTAAAGGGCTCGTAATATCACATGGTGCACACCTTGGGATATACTTTAATTTACTCACACAATTCTCAACAAAGGGAGACAATTCATTCCTGTTATTTATGGTTGCTTTGTTCTATAAAGTCATCATGAACACTAGTTCATGTGCAACTAGTGGATACTGAACCATTGCTTCTAGGAGAGACTCAACGTTAGCTTCCTTTGAACCTCTAGTCTAAACATTTTAGTCAAATGATCAATAGATAACCTTGTTTTATGTGTCTTTCTTTTTAAGGACACCTTATTGAATATATATTGTTGATTCATAAACATTGGACTCATGGCCAACAACCCATGAGTTGTGCCTAAGCAAAGCTTATCTCAAAGATGCATTTTCTCCATAAGGCGTTCACAGCCTTCTTGCCCTTAGTGATACTATACAGTACTTCAGCACTATGCCTGGGACCCACTTTCAACAGTGAGATCACCAGTGTAAGTTACAAACATGCAAAAAAATGGAGCACCAAATAGAACAACAGAAAAGGACAGTTGTTCACAGCATGAAAGTTGAAATGAGAAAGCAGAATAGTGCTTTGTTCTGCTGCAGTTGGGAATGCCAACATTGGACAACTCGAATCTTCTGCCACTATGCCTGAGAACGATGGCAAAAGTGCTGTGATTATCACCTTGGGGCTCACAGGTACACTTTATCACATGGTTGAATTTGGAAATATAGAAGCTGTGAATAATGAGGATAGATTATAAGCATTTCTAGTGAGCTCTTTCTATAAACAATGTTGTAATGAAGATCCCAATCTATGTCTTTGTTGATATATGTGTGGTTTTCACATTTTTGTATAGAATAGATATCCACGGGTGAAGTGAACAGTTTACAAATTTTAAAATTAAATAGGTATTGCCAAATTCTTTTTCAAAAATGTTTTTGGAATGTGCACTCCCACTACAGATGTATGAATGCATGTTTTCTTCCCTTCTCTGGAAGCATAAGGTGTTTTTTCTCCAATTTTGACCCTCCTGTAGATGTAAACATGCCTCATTAGTTTTTGTTTCCCTGCTTATGGATACATTTGATCCTTACTATCCACGTTTTAGACAATGTTGATTTTATCTTTAGAAAACTGTCTGTCTACTTCCCCTTGAAAATATTCTCCATGCTTCCATTTTTCTCCTCCTATTCATTCTTAAACTCCTGCCTGTCATGCTCTCACCCCCACCACTCAACCACAATTACTCTTCTCAAGGTTATCAGAGACTCACTTTGCTAAATGTCATAATTTCTCAGCTGTCCTCTTACTTGACACAGATGACCAGTCTCTCTACTCCTCGAAGCCCTGACTGTACCTGGCTTCCCGGACACTCATCACCTGCTTTTCTCCTACCTCCCTCGCTGGTTCTTTTCATGCTATTTTGTGCTTCTCCTTGTTTTCTTGAGCTCTGAATGTTGGAGTGCTCAAGGATTGATATTTGGATCTCCTCACTTCCTAGGTGGTGTTATCCAGTCTCATGGTTCTAAAAACCATGCGCAGTCTGGCTGAGGATTCCAACATTCATGTCTCCAGCCCAGACCACCTGAACCCGCACTGGACCTGACCTTGAACTTCAGGCTTGTCTGGCCAACTGCCTCCCTGACATCTGTACTTGAGTGTCAAATGGATACCTCAAGTCAATGGGAATAAGCTGAGACCCTTCTACTCCACTCCCACACCTCCAGCTCCTGTAACCTTTTTCCTCTTCTCAGATAGTGGCAACCCCATTAGCTTGGTTGTTAGGTCAAACTCTTGGCTATCTTTTCTCTTTCCCTCTGTTTTACACACCCTACATCTAGGTGGTCAGAAAATACCATTGGTTTACCTTCAAAATAGGTTTGGAACCATTTCTTCTCTTTCCCACCACCATTACCCTTGTCTAAGGTATGTGCATTCTTTCCTGAGGTACTGCAGTGGCCTTCTACCTGCTTTCCCAGGCGGCCAGGGCCATCTCTCAAATATGTAAATCACATCGCTCCCCTGGGAAACCCTCCCACAGCTTCCCATCTCACCTGTGGGAAAAGCCAAAGTCCTGACTGACCAGGCAGCCCTGCTGGACCTAGTTCCCTCTTAGCTCTCTGCATCCATCTCCCAGTATTCTCCCCTCAGTCCCATCTGCTTCACTGCAGCCACGCCAGTCTCTGTCCATCCTAAAGCAAGCCAGGCACATGCCATTCTCAAGGCCTTTGCAACTCCTCTTTCTTCTGCCTGAAATGCTCTCAACCTTTCATTTCTTTGGCTTTTATCTCAAGTCACCTTCTAAGTGAGGCCTTCCATGTCCTTCAATAGCTAATATATCTAGATATTAACTGCCTTGCCTCCGACTTTTTATACCCCTTTCTCTGATTTGTTTCTCTAGGTCTAATCATATTAATACATATTTTATATTTTTTAACCTATTTATCTTAAATATTGCCTGCTTTCTTCATTAGAGTGTAAACACCTTGAAAGGAAGATGGTTTTAATCTTTAATTTCTCTCAGCAATGTTTTGCAGTTTTCAGAATACAGATTTTGCCCATATTTTGTAAATTTATTCCCAAGGATGTACTATAATTGATGCTTTGTACATATAAAAGTACATGTATATTTTAATTTAAATATTTAATTGATTATTGCTAATATGCAAAATTCATTTGGGTATCCTGACCTTATTTTCTGTAGCATTGATACATGTAATTATTTGTTCTGGTAGATATTTTCTGTATATTTCTTAGAATTTTCTACAAAATCATATTTCCTGTGTATATAGGTATTTCCTTTCTTTTCTATCTAGACACTTTTTATTGCTTTTGGTTGCCTTATTGCACTCTAGAGAACTGCTAGTATAATGCTGAGTAGAAGTAGTGAGAGTGAACAGCCTTGCTTTTTTCCCTAATCTTGAGGAGAAAGCCTTCATTCTTCTCCATTAAGTATGATATTTATGGTATTTTTAATAGATATCTTTTATCAGGTTGAAGATATTCCTGTCTATTTCTAGTTTGCTCAGAGTTTTTATAATGAATGTATGTTTAATTTTCTCAAATGCTTTTTCTGCATTTATTGAGATGATTATGTTATTTTGCTTTTTTAGTCTTAATCTGTCAATATGGTAAATTACATTGTTTGATTTCTAATGTTAAACCAACCTTGCATGCTGGGATAAGCTATTCGACCGTGATGTATTACCCCTTTTTATATATTGTTGGACTCAATTTGCTAATATTTTGTTGAGGATTTTTGCATCTGTGTTCATGAGGGAATGTCATCTGTGGTTTTATTTTCTTTTAACTTCTTTGTTTGGTTTTTATTTCAGGGTAATACTGCCCTAAGAAATGAATTTTGGAAATATATCTTCCTCCTCTTCTATTTGTCTAATAAGTTTGTGCAGAATTGGTACTATTTCTTACATAAATGTTTGGTAGAATTGATCAAGTGAATCAATTTGGGCCTTGAGTTTTAATATGTGGGGCTTTTAAACTACGAATTCAATTTATTACACCAATATCCAGGTATTCAGGTTACTTATTTCTTAACTGGTGAACTGTAATACTTTGTGTCTTTCAAGGACTTTTCTGTTTCATTTATATTGTCCAAATTATTAATATGTTTGCTTGGTGTCTGATTTTTTTTCCATTATCTTTGCTCTTGATTGATTTTATTGATCTTTTCCAAAAAACAGCTGGTCATTTTTTCTAACATTTTTCTGTTTTCTGTGTAGTTGATTTCTGCTCCTAACTATTCTTCTGTGTACTTGGGGTTTTAAATCTTTTTTCCTAGTTTATTGAAGTGAAAGCTGAGATCTAATATGAACAGTTAAAGATATAAATTCCCCTTTAAGTATTGCTTTGTTGCATACCGTAAATTTTGATATTATTGCTTTTATTTTCATTCACTTAAAATACATTCAGTTTCTTCTTTGGCTGATTTGTTATTTAGAAATATGTTGTTCAATTTCCAATTATCAAGATACATTCCAGATATTTTTTCTGGTATTGATTTCTAGTTTGTTTCTGTTAAAGAACATACTTTGTATAATTTCCATCCTTTGCAATATATTGAGACTTGTTTAATGGCCCAGCATATAGTCTACTCTGGTGAATGTTTCACGTGCACTCAGAGGAATGTGCATTTTTCTATTGATGAGTGATGTGATGCACACATGTCAATTCGGTTGACTTGGTTAATAGTGTTTTCAAGACTTCCGTATCCTTATTAAATGTTTTTACATAGTCTATCAATTACTCAGAGAGGATTGTTGGGATCTACAACTTAAATTATGGATTTGTCTATTTCTTCTTTTGGTTCAACCAATTATTGCTTCAAATATTGTAGCTCAATGCTAGCTGCATACATCTTTAGGATTCTTAAGTCTTCTTAATAAACTTACTCCTTTATCATTATGAAATATTTCTTCTTATTTCTGGTAATATTCCTTGTTGTCTATTTTATCTAATATTAATATAGCCATTCAAGATTTTCATTGACTAGGGTTTGGATGGTATATCTCTTAAAATCCATTTCATTTTTTTTTTTTTTTTTTAAGACGGAGTCTCACTCTGTCACCCAGGCTGGAGTGCAGTGGCATGATCTCAGTTCACGGCAACCTCTGCATCCTGGGTTCAAGCGATTGTCCTGCCTCAGCCTCCCGAGCTGCTGGGATAACAGGCGCCCACCATCATACCTGGTTAACTTTTATATTTTTAGCAGAGATGTGGTTTCACAATGTTGGCCAGGTTGGTCTCGAACTCTGACCTCAGGTAATCTGCCAGTCTCAGCCTTCCAAAGTGATGGGATTACAGGCATGAGCCACCATGCCCAGCTTTAAAATTCACTTAATTTTAATCTATGTCTTTATATTAAAATTAGATAACATAGATAGCTTATAATTGGATCTTTCCTTTTAAACAAAATATAAAATCCTCCAGGAGTATTAAGGGGAGCTTGTAGGCATAATGATATAGGAAATCTGTCCTTTAAACTGTCAGTTATAGTCCACCCTATATTAGATCAGATTTATTATTGCCACTATTGTCCAAGAAAGTTCTAACATGTTCCAAAGGTTTTATGTGTTTATATTTTCACTTTCCATGTCAGTGTTTAGAGCAGGACAAAGGTTCAGACAGAAGTCTTACATGAGATTACATTCAGAGGAGCTGGACATATTTTATTATATTTAAAGGACCCTTTGAGAAAAGGAAGGATATTTTAAAGAACTAGTTAACTAATTCTACAAAAATTTCCACCCAAAACCTGGCCATATGTTGACAACATTTATCATTCCTGGCACACCTCCTTCTGTCATGTAGATGTAACTTTTCATCTGGTGTAATTTTTCTTACTCCAAAGAACTTCCCTTAAGTTTCTCATAGTATAGGTTTATGGCCAATAAATACTGTCTGATTTTCTCTGAAAATATATATCTTTATATATATATGTTTATATATGTCTATATCTTTATATATATCTTATATATATCTATATCTTTATATATATATCTATATATATTATTTTTTTTAAGAGAAAAAGGTCTCATTCTGTTGCCCAGGCTGGGGTGCAGTGGTGTGATCATAGCTGACTGCAGCCATAAACTCCTAGGCTCAAGGGATCCTTCTGCCTCAGCCTCTTGAGTAGCTGGGCCTATACAAATTCTTAATGTTTATTTTTGAGAGATATTTCTGTGGTGTGTAGAACTGTAGACTGACAGTGTTTTATGCCTCCCAGCACTTTAAATGATCTCATTCCAATGTCCTCTGGCTCGCAGCACCTCTGTTGAAGAGTCAGCTGTTTTCTTAGGTTTGTTCTTCCAAACACGTCTCGCTCCTTTGGCTGCCATTAAGATGTTCTATTTGTCACTCATCTTAAGTAACTTGATTATCATATTCTTTGTTATTATTTTCTTTATGGAGTTTATTGAGTTCTTTACCAAATTTGGAAGAAATTCAGTCATTATTTCTTCAAAAGTTTGTTTTATCTTCTTTTCTCTCTTCACTTTCTGGAACTTTAATGACAGGTATATTAGTCTACTTTATACTGTCCAACAGCTTATTGACATGCTGTTCAGGCTTTTTTTTTTTTCAAGTTTCTCTTTGTTCTTGGTTTTAAATAGTTTTCTATTGCTACTGCTTACAATTTAGGGGTTTTTTTTTTTTCTTCTGTGGTATCTAACCTGGTGATCATCTAGAGAATTTTTTTTTTTTTTAATCTCTGGAAATTTTATCTGGGTGTCTTATAATCTTTAATTTCTCTTATCATCATGTTCATGGTTTTCCTTATAGCCTTGAGCATTTGGAATACATTTATCTTAGCAGTTTTCATGTGTTTTTCTGCTAATTCCCTTATCTTTGTTATCAGGAGTTCTGTTTCTATCAACTGATATTTCTCCTCATTAGGAGTCACATTTCCCTGCTCCTTTGCATATATCATGTTTTATTTTTAAATTAACACCAGATATTTTTAATTCTCTCTTGTTGAATTTAGGACTTTTTGTTTTCCTTCAAAGAATATTGGACTTTTTATGACAGGCAATTAATTATTTGTGGATTAACCTGACTTATTCAAGGTTTTTAAAAAAGATGTTTTAAGGGTTATTCCATAGTGGCCATTAGTCATGCATCACTTAACAATATATCTGATATGTTCTGAGAAATGTACCATTGGGCGATTCTGCCATTGTGCAAACATCACAGAAAGTACCTACACGAACCTAGATGGTACAGCCTACTCCACACCTAGGCCATATGGCATAGCCTATTGCTCCAAGGCTCCAAGCCTGTACAGCATGTTACTCTACTGAAAACTGTAGAGAGTTGTAACACAGCGGTAATTTTTGTATATCTAAAAATATCTAAACATAAAAAAGATACAATAAAAATATGATATTATAATCTTAGGGGACCAATGTCCTACATCCATTGTTGACTAAGATGCCATTATGTGACACATGACTATATTTGAGTGCTAATTGAACCTCATCCTAAGAAACTACTTTCCTGGGGTCTCTGTTTAATGTCTCATGGTTAGAATAAACTTAAATAATTCCTGACAATATATGAGCTCTGGGAATACTTCATCTAACAGAGTTCTGTAATTGTTATTTCCTTGGAGTTTTATTTTGTTCTGCCTTTTGGTGTTTCATTATTCACATATAAAGGTCAATAATTAACCGAGGTCTCAAAGGGAAATCTATGTATTAGGCTGGTGCAAAAGTAACTGCGGTTTTTCAAACACCACATGTTCTTACTCATAAGTGGGAGTTCAACATTGAGAACACATGGACACAGGGAGGGGAACATCATATACTGGGGCCTGTGGGGGGGTGGAGGGGTAAAGGGAGGGATAGCATTAGGAGAAATCCCTAATGTAGGTGATGGGTTGATGGGTGCAGCAAACCACTGTGGCACGTGTATACCTACGTAACAAACCTACACATTCTGCACATGTACCCCAGAACTTAAAGTATAATAATAATAATAAAGTAATTGTGGTTTTGCCATTAAAAGGAATTACTTAAATAGATTTTGTGAGTATTCTCTAGTTTCCTCCTTTTGGGTACTCCATCTCATAAACTGTAGCCATCTTCTTTTCTTGAACTCTGACTTCTGTCTTCTTAACTTGGCAAGACTGCAGGTCTTGAATTTTTCCCCTTCGTGCTGCAGTACAGCATTCACGCAGAAAGCCCACGGGATGGCATGGTTCATTCATTTGTTTTTCTTTTCTCGGGGATCACAGCTGTGCACTGCCTGCTGTCCAATACATGAAAACTGATTTTTCTCTCCACATTTTATCCCATTTTATAGTTGTTTATGTTAGGAGGGTAATTCCAATCCTCTTATAGTCTCATGGCCAGGACCAGATGCCAAGAAGCAAATTTTAGTTTGTTTTGCCACGGTTCTATTCCCAGTGCCTAACGGTGACTGGGTTATAATAGAGATGCTCCCTAGATGTTTGCTGAAGAAATGAATGATTACATCCTCAGCTGTTACAAGAGTGGCAACAGTGGGGCTGATACGCAATAACACCAAAAGAAACCAGCAAAGAATGCAACTTTTACACTTAGAAATTAGTCCGGGTCACATTCCTTGATGGAGGGTCAATTGCTAACGATGCTGCCGGAGACAGTGAGAATTTGTTTTCTCTTTGAGAAACTCACCACTGCCATGGTTAGGTGTGATTCCAGGCATTTCTGACCACCCCAGTCTCCATTTTGGACTTGGCTGCTTGTGACCATGCCAGGTTAGGTGGCTCCACTTATCTGGTGGATAAGCTTGGATGCCCCCGATGGGTGCTACAGATGAGTTCTCCCTGAAATCAACAAACTTCCCGTCTTGGTCGAAGTTGTGATTTTTTGAAGCTGGCTTTCTCCTTGGCTAGAAAATACAATGTCTTTCTCAGAACGAGTGGCCCTGTTACAAATTCAAGGGATCCTGTAGCAGTTGTACAAATTTTGAGCTGCAGGTCTACCTTCTCACCAAGTGCCAATAGTGAATGCAAAAAAACATCTAACACATTCCTGAACGTTTGCTCTATGTATCAATTTCCCAAACAAAGCAGGCCTTGGTTTCAGGCTTGATTGAGCTAATTCTAAAATATTTTTGTTCATTTTCTATTATTTATTTGTCTTTTTGTGCTCAATTTGGAAGAATTCCTTATCAGTTGTAGATATACTCCTTTTACTTGTTACCTGGATTGTAAATATTTTCCATTGTTTGTCTACTAATTTTGCCTTTCTTAAAATTAAAATTTAAAATCATATATGGCAAATTAAATATGGCTATCTTTTATAGCTTCAGGATTTCCTATTTTGATTAAAAATTTCTCTCTTTTTATGAAACCAAATTATAGACTTTTAAAAACATTTAAGGCTTTAATCCAATTGGAACGTAATTTTGTGTATTTGTACAATGAGACTTACATTACATCTTTGTAGATGAAGAGTTAGTTATGCCAGCACTGTGTTCTAAGTGTGTCACCCTATCCCTAGTGTTTCTCATGTCAAATACTTGTTTATATTGGAAGCTTCTTTCAAATTCTCCAGTTTTTCAGCACTCTCTTTGCTACTTCTATGCAAAATTTGATAGTTTTAAGCTTGGACTGTGGATTCAGACAGACTGTGATTCATATCCTGTTTATACCATTCACTATGAGAGATGCTGAAAATTTCTCAATTTTTTATGCCTCTGTAAAGTGTAGATAATATTTGTACCTACCTCATAATTGATACACAAATTTAATAAAGTAATTACAATACCTGGTACATAATAAGTATTCAAAGCGTTAGCTATTATTGTCATTGAGTTGAATATAACGTCGTTCTTGTGTGTTTTCACTGCAGGTAAAAGAGTATACATTACTATGCATTTTGAAATGCTTCATGGCTACACAAAGGTGTTTATTCTTATATATGACAATCAAGATCATTTTGCAAAATGTTTACACTAAAGCAGTTTCAGAGTTCTAATTAGGATTGTGTTAAAGTTTGATATCAACTTTCAAATAATTAACATTTTAAATATTGTTTTCTTATTTAATATTATACAATTTTTTTAATGTTTTCAAATTTCTAACAAGATCTTATAGTTTGCTTTGTTCAATCTTCTGGAGTTCATGTCAGATTTATTTGAAGTCTTTTTATATTTTTGTTCTTATTGTGAATGGAATATTTTCTCCATTTTCACTTCAAGGTATTTATATTGGTGAAGAGAAAAGCTATTGATTTCATAATATATTTCTTGTATTTAGCCATATTAAGATATGTTCTTATTAGTTTTTTTTGACATTTGGATTTTTTTAAATTTTATTTTATTATTATTATACTTTAAGTTTTAGGGTACATGTGCGCAACATGCAGGTTTGTTACATATGTATACATGTGCCATGTTGGTGTGCTGCACCCATTAACTCGTCATTTAGCATTAGGTATATCTCCTAATGCTATCCGTCCCCCCTTCCCCCACCCCACAACAGTCGCCGGTGTGTGATGTTCCCCTTCCTGTGTCCAAGTGTTCTCATTGTTCAATTCCCACCTATGAGTGAGAACATGTGGTGTTTGGTTTTTTGTCCTTGCAATAGTTTGCTGGGAATGATGGTTTCCAGCTTCATCCATGTCCCTACAAAGGACATGAACTCATCATTTTTTATGGCTGCATAGTATTCCATGGTGTATATTAAAACTAATATATGTTAGGTTTTTCAGAAATAAAATTCTATTATGAGAAAAAAGTTGTCTTTTTTTCTTCTATTTTCTAGTTCTTATTTGAATCATTTGGTTTGGTTGCACTTTCTTCAAGAACATATTAAATATTAATGGTGATGGTGAGTATTCTTGCCTGATACCTGGCTATAATTGAAATGGTTTTATTGTTTGTCATTTAGAATGGTTTTCACTGATGGTTGGTTCTTGGTAAACAACCTTTAGCATATTTAAGCAATTATTTATTCTTACATTAGCAAGGATTTTTATTAGGAGCTGTTGATAAACTTTATCAGATCCCTTTTTCAGCACCTAGTGACTTAATCATAAGGATTTTTCTATCATTTTGTAGTTCTAATAAATTTTGTTGATTGATTTCCTGATATTTAAATGCTGTTGTAATCATTAAACCTGACTTTAGCATATTATGATTTTGGTACACAGCTGAACTCCACTTGTTAATATTTTGCTCATAACTTTTATACTTACTAGAGAGATGGGTATATACAGTATTTCACCTTTTGCATTATCTGGGGCTACCAGTTATATCAATAACACAAGTTTAAATAACATTATGCTGACTTTAAAAATATTGGTCTACATGTATGATGATCCCATTTATATAAAATTCTAGGCATGTTTCTGAGGAGATACATATCTAACTAAAGGATTGGTTTGTTTTTCCTGTAGTAGATAAATACATATGTGATAATAAATGCAGAGAAGAAAAGGTGGTTGTTAGGGAAAAAAGAGATATAAAATGATAGAATGCCCCCAATTTGTCAAGTAATGGAAGGGAAATGAATGGTAGAAAGCATAAATATACCCAGAGGCTTTTTTGAATACAACCTCCTCATGAAACTCATAATGAAAAAAAACCCTAAATATACAAGATGAGTAATGATCAACAAAAGACAAATACTGAAAAGATTGTTACAGGAGGATGCTATGTGCAACTCTGTGGGTGCACACATCAAATTTAACATAAATAGATGATTGTATTCTCCCTTCCTGGTCAATGAGAAAGACAGAACCCTTGGGCCTGGCGATAATGTTAATGATAGTGGCCACAGCCTGCCTCTGGGCCCTGAATTCACCTAAGAATAATTTAATTTTGAATCAGACAGACTCGGGTGCTGCTCCCAGCACTGCATTTACTGAGTCAGAGAAAACCTGAAAACATAGATGCTATAGAGCAGAGTGGAAAGATGATTAAATAGCCACATCGAAAAAGCGTCCAGATGGTTTACAGCTCGGTTCTCTCTAACCTTGAAACAGATCGTTCCCCAGGACTCAGCTGTGTCAGCACTTTTTTTTTTTTTTTTTTTTTTGGCATTAGGCTAAACTGACTCAATGTTTTGCATCTCTAGTCTTCATTTTAGGGCAAATGTAGTGGCCTCCAGGAGTAACCACGTGATATGTAATGATGGACTCACAGATATGAACACAGTGTTTGAAGCGGTGGCTTCCTTCTCAGTAATGGAATGGCGGCCTCAGCCCTATCTTATAACTGCAGCGACCAAGGCTACAGCTGGATTATGTATGCAGTCTAGAAATAATTTAGTTTGGAACTAGACAAAGCTGACTTCAGCTCTCAGGACTATCAGCTATCAGCTGTGTGACTTAGTAAAAGGTTTTTTAACCTCTTTTTTCTGAGTTTTAAAATAATAATAAAGTACTGAAGCTCACAGAGTTCCTAAGGATTTTGGTTAAGTAAGATAATGAACGTAGAGTGTTTAGGATTCTTTAGTCACACCGTAAGCACTCAAAATATCAACTATTAGTTAATGAACTCTGCATATACCTTGCAGTAGCTTATTCCTCAAAGTGGCTTTGGTTTTCTACTTCACAATCTGTTTCTCTCCCCATTTCAGTTTCTGAATTTGACATCTCTCCACCCATGAGCAAGTCTCGAAAAACCCCAGACAACATAGACTATTGTTTAATCCCATCTGCCTGTACACAAAGTGAAGCCAAGTGTTATCAATTCTACTCCTGTGATGTAACTTAAACCAACTTCTCCTGTGTCTTCAAAGCCACTGCCTTAATTTAAGACCTCCATCACATTCACCTGGACTTGAAGCAGCCACTGTCGATGTTTTGTTTATAATCTTTACCTTCTACAAACCCCTTTCTTATTGGTTACAGTTATTTTCCTAAAGCACGGTGGCTTTAAATTCTAACCAGCTCAAAAATTCTAACCCACCTGGGGGAAGGTCTTGTGATGCATGGTGACATCTTGTCCCTGAGTAAAGTATCTTACCTTGAGTTCCTCAAATTGTTGATGTGGCTGATTATTTGTATGACTTACTGACATTGAAAAAATGCTGATCTGTTTCTGAATCAAGAAGTTTTACTAATTTTCTTGCATACAGACATTTCAGCCTGTATGTTGCAATCCGTAGCCAATGATTATAAGCCCTGTATCATACCCTCCAATGAAAAGGACAACTCAGATATGAGGAGTCCCCTCCCTTCTCTTAAGCTTTCTTATAAAAGCCTTCCAACTTGTTAAAGACTCTAGAACACTCCTGACTTTGTTGATGTGTCTTCCTGGGCTGATCCTCACATTTGGCTTCCAATACACCTTTTATCACGTTATTTCAGCCTTAATTTCTGTCAACATTATGGTGTAGCCAGTAGGCTTTGGAGTGACCTCCATGGACCATCCAGCACAGCTTCCAGCCTTCATGCAGATCCTGGCAACAAACCCATTGTGAGCTTGGACGCCCCTGCTGGGTGGTACAGATGAGTTCTTCCTGAAATCAACAAACTTCCCGTCTTGGTCAAAGTTGTGATTTTTTTGAAGCTGGCTTTCTCCTTGGCTAGAAAATACAATGTCTTTCTCAGAACGAGTATCCCTCTTACCAATCCAAGGTAAGGGTTTTTGTTTGAATTTTAGGGCAAGGTAAAGTAGCTCTGTGAATTTTTCCCTGGAGGTTTGGGGCGAAAGCACTTTTCCTTAGTGATGGCATGAGGGGCACTTTTGCTCCACTACATAGCTGGTCTCACTCAAAACAATCACGATGGAAAGCAGGTCTTCTGAGACTGACAGTGCACTGCCTCTAATCAACACCAGCTGGTTTTATGCACAATACTTTTGGTCCTTTTACCTGCAAGTGCTTAGATAAGTGGATCCACCTAACTTGGCATGGTCATAAGCAGCAACACCCAAAATGGGGACCCTTTGAAATGCCTAAAATGATTTACTTGGGCACACAATTGGAAAAAGCTGGATTTAGAATTAGACAAATTGAATGGAAGACTTACTTCCAATAGCACCTAGAAGCTTCCATAAAAAATTTTGAAAGAAAAAATTGCCTCCATTCAAGAGGTAAACAAAAGGATATTCGCAACTATCTCTGCCGTGAAAAAGACTTCAGAGACTTTGTCCCTTTCACCTCCAACTGCTCCTCATTCCTCATCCTTCTCTGCTTGTTCCCTCAGCTCCCATACATTTCTTAGGCAGAGATTTTTGGAATTTCACAATGCACACATTTCCTTCTCTCTCAAAAGAGGGAAATGTATGAATTTGGAACAAAAGGAGCAAATGAAAGGACTACAGCATGAGAATGAAATTACTGAGATGATAAAAATACAGATCCAACAAGTTTTTTTCTAAACTGAAACTAATGAATGATACCAATTGATTTATTGTAAGCTTTGCCAGACCATTTATGATCCCGATCTTCCACTGGCATTGGTAAAATAGATTCAGCCACTCGTATTAAAATGAAATGCTTAATTGAACAATTAATAATCTAAAAGAAAAAGATAAATGTTTAGAAAAGTTAGGCCCTCAGGTCTAATAAGTCAGAATCTTGAGCTCAGAGCAATCATCTATCTGTGTCTAGCACAAAAATTTTGCTTTTTCTGCTACAAAGGCTGAAAGGAAAAAGTGCCACCTCCCCCAAAAAAGAGAGAAACTGCTAAAAATTTTTCCCCACCTGCATTTGCTAATCAAACAAGATCAGCAAACAAAAGATAGATTTGTTACTATTTCAAGACTACTTGGAGATTTTGTCTTTGTTATGCAATTTGGTCAGTTTTCAGGTAAAATGTAAACATTGAAAATTGAACTCATTTGAAACTTATAAAAAATGGTAAAAGAAGTTTGTAAAAATCAAACTTACATGGAAACTGCTTTACCCAAACTTTTGGTCTGTAGCTTTCATTAGATTACCCATAGGGGCAAAAAAAGTTTAGCCATATGAATAGGTCCCAATTTTGTCAGAAATATAACTTGGATCCAGCTGTCTTTTATAAATTGGTGAGTTTGTATGGTGAAACCCTGTCTCTACTAAAAATACAAAAAATTAGCCGGGCATGGTGGCACTCGCCTGTAATCCCAGCTATTTAGGAGGCTGAGGCCAGTGAATCGCTTGAACCTGGGAGACGGAGGTTGCAGTGAGCCGAGATCGCGCCATTGCACTCCAGCTTGGGCAACAAGAGCAAAACTTCGTCTCAAAAAAAAAAAAAAAAAAAGAACTAAAATTCTAAAATGAAAGCTGTACAATCTTTATTTGTGTTTGTGTATGTTTAGATGTGTTTACACTTACTTAGATGTATTATATGTTATGTCTACCTGGTACCAAATCAACATAAATAAATGAGCATTCATAAATTAGTAAACACAAATATTTCCCAAGTTCACATGACTTAAGTAAACCCTTAATAAACAAGCTGGTTTTTAAATTATTGATAAAATAAAAGTAGAAATGTCTTCAAGATTGTCAGCATACCCTTTTGCCTCATTATACTTGGAAGACAATTTTATATTTGTCTCTGCTAGATATTTTTAAATGTCAGGGTTTGGCACAAAGGTTATAGAACTACAAGCCCAGCCAAAACCAGAATGATTTTTGTGTAATTTTTTGAAGGGTAAGACTAATTTAATCTTGTTGGTTAAATGAAAAAAAGCTGTATCTTCTGAGTTATTAGCAAAATACCCATATATTTAACCTAAACTCCTTCCTTAAGTGAACATCTGATATTCACAGGCCATAAAAATGGTTAACAAGGAAGTAACTTGAAATAATGACTAACTTTGTCCAATATCTCAGTTTTCATGAGCAATCCAGGTAAACTGTTAAAAATAAATAAATTAGGTAAATATAAATGGGATAAACTTTTATAAATAATTGTTACATAATTTTCAATCTTAAAGTTATGTTCAATTTAAATAATACTCATTCTTTATTTCCAAATAAAATAACAATACTATAGCAAAACATATTTCTAAAAATTATAAATAAAGGAGCTATTTGTATTTTAAAACAATCAGGTAAAGTATACTTTTGTGAATAAAATTAAAACATTTACCTTTCTCTGTACCTGAATTCTCCAGAATTTGTAAACTATGCCTCCACAGTTAAGGCCAAAATAATGATCGTCCAGAGACTGGAGGTTGATTCATTATTCAGGAGATTGGCATGTAACCTCGTGTCATGATCTACCCCATGTTGCTAGCAACCTGGCCCACATGCGATGATAAGGTTTGTTCTCCCCACTCAGGGACATGACTTCTTGGGAATGAGCCTTCGCAGAGCCAAGGAAGGAAAGAAGGATGTCTACCCTTCTAACGTAAGCAGAGACTGATCATCAATGCTTCCATGGTTAGTTGTTGTTGTTTTTTTAATCAAAAGAGGGAAATAATACCCTACAGGTCACATTTGGCAAACTTCCAAATTAAGTCACCTGGGGAAGAAGTCTTGTGTGTCATCTTGTCGCTAAGTAAACAATCTTACTGTGAGCTCTTCAAATTGTTGACGTACTGATTACTGTGTGATCTACTGACATTGAAAAGGATGCTGATTTGCCTCTGAATCATGAAGTTTTACTGATTGTCTTGCACGTAGGCATTTTAGCCTGTGTGTTGCAATCTGTTGTCAGTGATTGGAACCTTTTTATTGTACCTCTTAATGATAAAGGACAACTCTGATATGAGGAGTCCCCTTCACTTCTCCTAAACTTTCTTATGAAAGCCTTCTGGCTTGTAACAGATTCTGGAACATGTCCAACTTTGTTGGTGTGTTTTCCCAGATCGATTCTCACCTGTGGCTTCCAATAAACCTTTATTACATCATTTCTGCTTCAGTAGCTTTAATTTTGGTTGACACCTTTCCATGTGCTACAGACTAAAGACTACACACAATGGAAGCTTCCTGAAGACCTCTCTCCACCTTTTCCCCAGACCTTCCAGCCACAACTTTTCAAGCCCCTCCCAAAACAACCTACTAACCGCACTGTCTACCCCTGAAATGTGGAATTATCCACCCTTTTCATTTTGCCTATTATGCCATTTCCGACTTTTCTCCCATGTTCAAGGACTGCTGAAATGTTCCTTCTGCAAGCCTCTATCTAGAGTTCCCAGCAATCCTCTTTCTTTCTCACCTTGTTCTCATTGCACATTGGATTAATACCTCCGTTGCAAAATATATTATGTTAAAACAACTACTTCTTTTATATGCAGGCTGAAAGCTACATAAGAGTAGAAATCTGTTTTTATTAATCACTGTATCCACCCACCACCATGTCTAGTCAGGGCCTTGCACAGAGAAGGCCTTCCCTGACTGTCACTTGAAGAGTATACGTGTGATGGAGGAGTGATGGTACACAGCCCTTAGCCTGCAGGGAACAGTAGCTCTGGGGCCAGAAAGATTAAACCACTACTGTACTGCTTTTCAGAATTTTTTTTTTTTTTTTTTTGAGATGGAGTCTCGCTGTCACCCAGGCTGGAGTGCAATGGCACCATCTCGGCTCACTGTACCCTCTGCCTCCTGGGTTCAAGCGATTCGTCTGCCTCAGCCTCCCGAGTAGCTGGGACTACAGGCATAGAGATGGGGTGTCACCATATTGGCCAGGCTGGTTTCAAGCTCCTAAACCTTGTGATCCGCCCACCTCAGCCTCCCAAAGTGCTGGGATTACAGGCGTGAGCCACTGCGCCCGGCCTCTTTTCAGATATTTTAAAGACATAAGTATAAATACTCATCTACTGTACTTATTTATTATTTTTATTTTACTTTGAGATGGAGTTTCTCTCTGTTGCCCAGGCTGGAGTACAGTGGCGTGTTCTCTGCTCACTGCAGCCTCCACCTCCCCGGTTCACGCAATTCTCCTGCCTCAGCCTCCTGAGTAGCTGGGATTACAGGCGCCTGCCACCACGCCACACTAATTTTTTTATTTTTAGTAGAGATGGGGTTTCACCATGTTGGCCAGGCTGGTCTTGAACTCCTGACCTCAAGTGATCTGCCCGCCTCGGCCTCCCAAAGTGCTGGGATTACACGCGTGAGCCACTGTGCTCAGCCTCATCCACTTTAAAAAGTAAAATCATGGTCTATGTGGTAAAAGTTAGAATAAAAGTAAGTAAAATATACTTGTTTTCTGTTCTATCTTGTAGTAAGAGAAGTAGAAACAGAAAAGGCAGGAGAGAGAAAAGTAGGACAAGAAAGACAAAAGAAAAAAAAAGAGAGAGAGAGACCCTCTGAGACACAGGAGAAAAATGAAATAATGACATAGGGGGACAAAGAGGATCCAGGGAATTTTACAGACAGAAATGAATACAGATAATACCAAGACAGTTTGTGCTACGATTTCTCACAATGTGCAACGTTCTTGCAGAAGACATTGAGTTCTTATGCCACCCTTTTGTTCCTGAACTAAAAGGGGTTTCAAACTCAGAGACCAGTCTGGTTAGAAGTCAGCAAATGTGGGTCACTGCAGGGCTGGTCGGCCCATGTCCTGTCTGAGGGGCCAGCTGCCTCTTAGCTCCAGCCAAATTTTGCTCTCTGTGAGCAAATGAGGATCTTGCTGCTGCCAGATCTTTGTATTTTTCAAGAGACGCCAGAAATCTGGGTTAGTTTGTAAAAACCACTCTGTGGGCCAAACAAAACATTTCAGTGGGCATCACGAGCTGCCAGTTTATGCCCTCTCAACCGTACACAAAAACACGGCTGTTTCCCCTCATGGTTTTCACTGACATGCTAAGTGAAATCCAGCCTCAGATTAGAGATGGCTCATGGGCCATTGCTGGCCCACTGAAGTTGCAGCCACCGTCCTGGTTATCAGTGGTCAGTGAACTCAGGACAACAGGAGCTGAAACCGAGGCTGAGCCCACTTCCCGGGGGCCAGCCTGTTCCTGGCTGAGATGACACCTGTCAGAACATCCTGTGCTTCCCATTCAACAGTGCACTGGGCTCTGTGCAGAACAGAAAAGAGAAAGAGGTAAGAAAGTGGGCTTCTGTTTCCTTCCAAATTTACCCTGTTTCAGGGCTGAGAGGACTAGCGCATAAAGCACTTAACAGAAATTAAATGACATAGAATAAAGTGAGAATTACTGATGCAGGGGTCAAGTATCCAGTGGAGTTTATTTGAAGAAGTAAAAAGAAAGTAGTCTCGAGTTCTAATCTCAGCCACATTCTGGAGTTCCTCTGGTAGTACAAACAGGCCTATTATTTGTTCTTCTTATTTTGGAATGGGTCTAATAATACTTGCCTATTTATGTCTCTTTCTGTGAGGAGTCAGAATTAATTAATTTTTAGAGACAGAGATAAAAATTCAAATTCTACATCTATGATTATATAAAACCAAGAAGGATACAGCTTAGAGAAAATACATTTCATTTAGATGTTAATTTAGTCATTAAAATAAGCAATTAAAACAAAGAAATTAGTAATTAAAACAAGACATAAAAATGGAGAAAGCCTGACATAAGCATAACAATAGAATACTTTTTTTTTTTTTTTTAAATAATCGACTTATTTTCTCCTTCAAGAATTTCCGGGAACTGTCTACAGCTCTTACATACTCATTGTGAGAAGGCAGTCTGCTGTTTTTTGAAAGATGAAACCAAAATTTTTAAATCCCGATTAAAATTATTGAATAAATGGCATTGAAATGGCAGTTATGGAAATCACCACACTAGAAAATAATACACAAAATCTCACCACCCAACAAGATTAAGTATTTTCATAGTTCAGTGTTCACTTTCTAGCCTTTCAATATATATAGTTGTTAGCCTAGTATATTGTATCTTTTTAAAATATATCATAAATATTTTTTGTATCGCTACATACCCTTCATAGCTATTATTTTAATGAATACATCATATTTTATCTTTTTTTAAAAAGTTATCTCATTTTCCTAGTTTCAAGTATTTTCACTATTGTATTAACAAATAATGCTGCAACTTTGTACAGAAGCATTCCCCAGAGCAAATAAAAATGCATCAATATTGTTACTGCTCCTGAAACGTATCACTAAGTTGCTTTCCAAACACCTGGCAGAATTTAAGTGATACAATGAATGACTATATAAATCTTAATGCTTCTTGTCACTGATAGCATTGTCAATAAAAAGGGCCTATACAGTATGAGTGACACAGGTCAATACAGTGACTCATTCTGAACTGGTGCGTTACATCCATAGCACTATCAGTGGAGGTTAAGCCAGAGAACTGTTCTTAGAAATTCTTAGTTTCCTCACCTCATAAAAGAAGAGTTTGAAAGACACAGTCTCTAAAGACTATTTCAGCTTTAAATATCTAAATATTAAGCACTGGTGAAACACTTCACCCTTCTGATAATTTTTGCTCTATTATGTTTTAAAAGAATTGGAGAGATGGTGTTAAATTTTTGTAAGAATTAAGTCCCCAAGAAATCTATTTAGTTCAGCAAAATGTATTAAGGCTATTTTAAGTGTATTTCTACAAGGAAGGAAGGAAGGAAGGAAGGAAGGATGGAAGGAAGGAAGGAAGGAAGGAAGGGAGGGAGGGAGGGAGGAGTGAAGGATGAAGAAAAGGAGGGAGGGAGGGAAAGGAAAAAGGAGTGTTCTACTCAGAAGATAAAAATTCATGAGGACTTTAGGAACCAGGCAACCATTGGCCAAATGTCCAAAGATCCAATTTTGGACCATGAGATATATTTGTGGTGGTTCATTTTTTAGGAAAAAAAAACAAGATACATAATAGAACAAAGGCCATTTGATAAGATGTGCTATCTTGTTGACAAGAGTCTTATAAGGAGCATGAAACGTAAAATAACATTGACATTTAAAATTGTGTTTAAAAGAGTAAAGTGTAAGGTCCCGGAATTTCTGTGACATCAAACATGTAATTCAAATAAAAGTGAGCTTAGGTTTGATTTTTTATTGATGTTTAGAGTTCTGCGAGTGCCTCTTGCTGTAATTACCAGCTCTGGATGCCTCTGCCTCACTCTGGGATGCAGGCTACATCCAGCTTCATGAGGGATGGACCTCAAAACTAAAGTGGCGTGGATTCCACTGTCTGCTACTGCTGCCTGGACCCACGCAGCCGCCCACATGCGGCAGCATCCTTGTCATGCTCCTTTGGACATCATCATCCTCTGTCTCTTCCTTCATAGAACCAACCCACTCCTCCTGCCTGAGCCCTGAGCCTGGCCCAGGCTCTTTGGTCTAGCCTAACGCTCTGGAATCCACATGTGGCATATACCCACATTCCAGCTGTTACAACTGTAATTCAGTCCTACGACACTCCTGAGGGATAAGACTGGACATTCAGAACTTGCACAACCGGCTGGGGTCCTGTTGTTCCTGAGCAGAGCACAATGCCAAGGCTGGAAGGTAGACCTGAAGCTCAAAGTCATGACCCCAGTGCTGAATGCCCCTCCACACCTGTCACTCACATGGATGTTTCTGGAAAACTGCTCAACTCTATTGTTTTGTTATTCTAGAGCGGTCATTCATAAAACACATAGCAGTGGAGCATCTACTATGTGCAGGTCATGGTGCTGAGCACTATGTGGGAGACAAAATTAAATCCCAAACAGAACCTGCTCCAGTGAGCTTAGAACTGGGCAGCAGCCTTTACAGCTGAGGAGAGCTACTTCAGAGATGATGCACTTGTGCTTTGGGGACAACTGTGCTTTTATTTGATTCATTTTCTGTAGAAATGTAGACAAGCACTTCAAAAATTCTCAAAAGAGGAAATGGATCAAGACATTTTGATAAATGTTTTCTAAAAAGCAGTTCTTAGCTACCATCAAATATGATATGCTATCAAATAATAAGGATCAGGAAATAGCCCACTATATATATATATATAAAATATATATATAAAATACATATATTTGTGTGTATATATATTTGTTTTATATATATATATAAAACAAAAGAATGCCCCCCAAATTGTGAACCATAATATAATCATCATAGAATTTTAAATGTTTACACATACAGAAACTCTTTTTTTTTTTTTTTTTTTTGAGATGGAGTCTCACTCTGTTGCCCAGGCTGGCGTGTAGTGGAACGATGTCGACTCACTGCAACCTCCAACTCTCAGGTTCAAGCGTTTCTCTTGCCTCGGCTTCCCAAGTAGGTGGGATTACAGGCATGCTCCACCATGCTCGGCTAACTTTTTAATTTTTAGTAGAGATGGGGTTTCACCACATTGGCCATGCTGGTCTCGAACTCCTGACTTCAAGTGATCCACCCGCCTTGGCCTCTCAAAGTGCTGGAATTACAGGCATGAACCACCGCACCTGGTCTGAACTCAACAATCTAAAGTGTTTGTGGTATTGTGAAATATTTCATGATTTCTACCATTTAAAAGCACAATAAAGGATGACTGAATTAGTAAATTTAGTCAAAAGAAATTGTTTGGGGGAAGGAAAGGTGAAATACATCCATGTAAATACAGAACTTAGCACAAGCTCTGAATTTGCTTAATCACCAGCTATCTTAAAAGCTTTCCTGCTGGATTGACAAAATGTTTGCAGTGATTTGCAGGCCCTTCCATCCACCTGTCCCATGTAAGAGCCAATCACAGTAAGCGCAGGAGCAAAGAAGAAGCTGGAGGCAAACAGGCTTTGGTACCTTGCAGTGACCAGCTATGAGGAGGGTCTGTTTTTATTGGCTCGGGAAAGAGAATGAGGTTATTAGAGGTCAAGGTTGTAGGGAATATTTTAAAATTCTGCTGACCACAGAATTTACCAATTCCTTTCCATTTCTCAACTTGTTTAAGGCTGTTTTATAGCCCAACTTAAAAATTACAGTTGGCCTCAGATTGCTTTTTATCATTTATACAAGCTCACAGCTTCTGGAATTCAAATGAGAAGAGAACACCTGATCAGTCACCAGGAAGGCAAGAGAACAGAATATGGAAGAGCTACTGCTCCCCATTCCCAATTCCTCCAGGCTGTGGGTGATCCTCCAACCTCCAGCCCCTGTGGAACACCAGGCTTCACCTTCTCCATACTTGCTCATGAAAACACACAGAGCATACACATATTCCATTGCTGGATCTCACAGAGTACCCAGGTTCTGGGCTGGCAGAAGAAATCAGCTTTAATTTGGAGATAGAGCAATTGAGGCATGATAATTTTAAATGACTAAGTGGCTCTGCGGAAATTAAATCCAGATTAAATTAAATTAGGATGCAGACCTCTAAATGACATTTTTTGTCTTCTTTATTTTGAGTCTGTTGACAGGAGCATTTAAATGTAGCTTTGAGAAAGGAATAATGAATCCATTAGGCTGTACATATTTGGTGCTTAATAAATGTTTATAAAATGGATGGAAAAGTGACATTTTAAGGAAAAAAGATTGCATTATATAGAATAAGCCAGCGAATTTCTGAGATGAGAACTTTTCTTTACCCATGGTGGTTTCTGAAGTCACCTTATTAAAGGCGACTTGGCTAAAATAACTTCAGTTAAAATATATGATCTGTCACAAGCTATTGATTTTAGAAAGAGAAGGCGGTTCACATTCATGTATTTCATTGCTAAGTGCTGCTGTTATGTACAACACCCAGCCTTTACTAAACTGACATCCTCACAGGAAATAATGATAACATTCCGACATTAAAATGCACTGACGCTCAGCAACAGTCTGATCATTTTATCCTCTCTATTAATATTAGAAAACCATTTCTACAACGTTAGTATTTCTAAGTGAGTTGAATCAGATTCTCTTAGGGGAGTAATTCTACCAAAGATGATTTTTTTAATGCAAAAATGCAGGCACATTCATTTGTCCTAGGTCCTACTTTGCAGAATACTATTTAATTCAATAAAGTGATCATTTTTGGAACTATGCCATCATCCAACAGCGTGAGGCCTCCCTTACGCCTGCAGTCTATGTTAGGGGCAGCATGCATTTAATACTAAATCTCAGCAAACCTTTTAATAAAAAGGTATCTTTATGCAAAAGAAAAGAAATGAAAGTATTTAAATAGCAAGTTACATGTTCTTTAGGAGGGAAAAGAAGGCAGCACAGCATTTCTGTGGATCTGGGGATGGGGTAGGGTAAAGATGAAGCCATCCTTCCTTCTCCCTGGGACACAGGCTTCTGGGACACCACCTGAATGCTCCCTCAGCCATCACTGAGCTGTGAGACTCAAAAGCTCATGCTCTAAGTCTCGCTCAGGATCCTTATCTGTAAAACCAGGGAACCGGTTAATTTTTTTTACAACCTCCTCTAATCCCGGATTATAGGATTCTAGGATTTCTGTGTTTCTGATTCATACCAGAGCCCTGTTATGATCGCTTTAACGGGATTCACAGCCTGTTTCAATTCTTGCTTTTTAACATAGCTTTAACCTTAGTTCTGTCCTTTGATTTCCCCAGTGTCTCAAACAAGAAAAGAATCAACTGCTTTGAGTTGGAGATTTATTTATTCTAATAAGAGTCTGAACATTTTGTAAACAAACAAAATGTTAATTCTCTTTAAATTGATTTTGGTGTATAACTCCAGTCAATATTTCTAATACATATCTTTAACCGTACATGAACATCAAATCTTAATGCCATTTAAATCTTTGGGGTCGAGTACAGTGGCTCAGGCCTGTAATCCCGGCACTTTGGGAGGCCAAAGCAGGAGGATTGCTTGAGTACAGGAGTTCAAGACCAGCCTGGGCAACATAGTGAGACCCTATCTCTACAAACAAAAACAAAAACAATTAGCTGGGCACGGCGGCACACGCCTGTAGTCCCAGCTACTCAGGAGGCTGAGGTGGGAGGATTGCCTGAGCTTGGGAGGTCAAGGCTGCAAATGAGCCATGATTGCACCACTTCGCTCCAGCCTGGGCAACAGAGTGAGATCCTGTCTCAAAAAATATACATATATTTGGGAAAACAAGTTTTCCCAAATCATAAAGCAGTGGCATTCATATTGACTCAGTATTTACTTTGAGGCATAAGCATCCACTTAATATAATTAGGGTAAGTACAGTCACAGTGCCTAAGTTAATACTTCCTATGCATGCGGAGACGAGCTTTTTTTAAACAGGATTGAGCAAATTCTCCTGAAGTATTCTACATGCATTATTGCAATTGTTCTGTAAATGTGTAAAAGCCTTAGGACTTTATCTTTTAATTATATATGATATGCAACACTTGTTCCCAACACCTGCAGAGAAATTTCCCAGACAATGAAAGAAACAGTGCTTTCATCTTATTGAATTAGCGTGGTTTCAATTTCACATTATCTTTGGTTGCTCAGCCTGTAGTATTACAAGTTTATTGCTTCTCCTTGGCTATGCTAAAAGTTGAAACCAAAAGTCATTTTCTGTTTTATTGACTTGCAGGAAGAAAAACTGAAATTATCCCGGTCATTAAAGAGAGTACTTACAATTTTTTTGCCTTCTATTAAGACAGTAGAAGTATTTGTTTCAACATTCCACAGTCTCACTGTTCCTTTCTGTTCTCTGTAGATGAATTCTGTATCTGTAAGAGAGGAAGTAGAAAAAAACCACATGAAACATCAAGGAACTCTCCTCAACTTTTGACGAATGCTTATGTAAAGTAAAATCACTAGTTCTGAAAAAAAGATAGGCTCCCACTCATCAAACGGCCCTTTCAATATGGTGCAATATGCCCAGCTCTTCTTAATCCAGCCTCACATGATGCTTCTCTCCTACTTTACACATTGACATAGAAAGCACAGGCGCACACACCGAAAACCTTTGGAACAGCTAGAATGTTCTTGGGCAGGACACAAAGAGCAGATTAAGAAAGCAGATACTCCAAGGAGCCAAAGACAACTGTTAGTAAAGGGACTAATTTCCTATATCCAACTTTGGAGTAAATCTGTATGCAGAATGCTTGTGGCCCATAGCCACATCCTGCAAAACATGCTTTCATCTGCTCCACGAGCTCCCCTAGGTGCTCTTGCTTGGAGGAATTAGCTCTTCGCTGCCATGAATACCTTTGAATCTATACATCTCATAGATGCTGAGTCTGGCCTCTTGTAGATGAACAACCAAGATTTCAAGCATCCCCTTAGAAAATTAGTAAAAACGCTTACTCAAAATGGTATGCATATGGACATGTACATATATATCTCCTATGAATGAAAGGGTGTATTTCTGAAAGGTAGGGTTGTATAAAAAACAACTCCCCAAAATCAATGAGATAAAAACACTCCAACAGAAAAAAATAGGCAAAATAAATACACCAATAATTTTTTTTAATTTAAAAAAATGTTTATTTCATCAAATGTATCCATCTTTAACGACATCTTAGTTTTGAACCATAATTAGAAAGATCTTTGACCCTCCAAGATGATAAAGACACTTTCCAATGTTTTCTTCTAGAATTTTTATGCCTTTTTTTTTTCTTTTTTGTATTATACTTTAAGTTCTAGGGTACATGTGCACAACATGCAGGTTTGTTACATATGTATACATGTGCCATGTTGGTGTGCTGCACCCATTAACTCATCATTTACATTAGGTATTTCTCCTAATGCTATCCCTCCCCCTGCCCCCCACCGTACAACAGGCCCTGGTGTGTGATGTTCCCCTTCCTGTGTCCAAGTGTTCTCATTGTTCAATTCCCACCTATGAGTGAGAACATGCGTACACCAAGAAATTTTATAAAACAAAAATAGTAAGTAAGCACATGAGTAGACTCTTAAAGTCATTAACACTCTGATGATGCAAATTAAAATCAGAGATAGGTACCATTTTGCAGCCACTACCTTAGAAGAGAGTAAGAAAATTTCATACAGGCAAACTACTTTCTGAAATGTAGGGTTGCAGGTTGAGAGGCAGGGCCCACAGTGGGGAGAAGGAAAACACTATCTTTCTGAGTGAAGGCAGTAACCTTGAGCCAGTTTGATGGTAAAGGCATTTCACACTATAATAGTTGATGACTGAAAAACATTATGCAGACTGGATTAATTCAAAAGCAGAGTTGTTATAATTTAAGTATGTGTAGATTTTATGAGGAAAATGAAAGTCTATCAATATAATGAAAATTTCATCATCGACATGGTCCTAGATCAATCTACTTTATGCATTATGTAAATTACATCCAAAGCTTCAGTGCTAAAGTTAACAGATGTTTAGGTGAAATTGTTTTCATTTATTTTCCTGGTAATACTTTCATGAACAAATCAAATGAGTCATATTTTTCTGTTTCTTAAGCAAACACACCAAGGTGCATCTATTGAATGAGCTATCTCACATTAAAAGAACTCACATGGAAGACTCTGCAATCATTTCAGTGAAGTTGCCCTTATATAGCAAATTTTAGAATTTTTTTTTAGAAAGCACTTAAGTTTGTTAGTTATATAAGTTGCAAAAAAGGTTACTACTTAATTTGATTGTCACCTTATCTCCCTTCGTCCATTAGCTTTTACTCTGAATGAATTTCTAAATATCAAGTTTGCCTTCAATGGATGAAGATTTACTACCTTTGACACCCCCTCACGAGTTCCAAGTTCTCTGCTTCTACCCCGCCCCCACATTACTGATCACCATGAAACATAATGATTGTTTAAGAGTATGCAGTGGGGAGCTGAACAATGAAAACACAGAGAGGGGAACGACATACACTGGGGCCTGTTGCAGGGGTCAGGAGGAGGGAGAGCATCAGGATAAATAGCTAATGCATGCAGGGCTTAATACCTAGGTGATGGGTTGATAGGTGCAGCAAACCACCATGGTACACATTTACCTATGCTACAAACCTGCACATCCTGCACATGTATCCCGGAACTTAATAAAATAAATAAATACATAAAAAAGATTATGCCGTACTACATTTGAGGTACATAAAACCTGCTTGTTTCTACGGAAACCAATGAGACCATTTCAGAATTAGAACGTATGATTACTTTTTTTTCCTCCTGAATTTTATCATTCCGGTACTTTTAACAGTTTTATCACATATTTATGTATCTTTAAATACTATGTTGTTTAGTTTTTTTTTGCATTTGACCTTAATAAGGTGATATTTACTGTGTTCCTCAGTAATTTATATTATATCATATTTCTGAGGTGAATATAATAGTCCATGCTGTCTTGGCTCTTAGTTCTCACTGATGTACACGATTCTAGTGTATATTACAATGGATACCAGTCATTCCTAGTTTTATTGTTATTACAAACCATTCTACCATGAATATTCTTCTTTACATCTTTTGGTAAAAATGTACAAGACTTTTGCTTCCTCTCCTCTTCCCTCTCCTCTCCTCTCCTCTCCCCTCCCCTCCTCTCTCCTTTCCTTTTCTTTTTCTTTCTTTCTTCCTTCCTTCTTTCCTTCCTTTCTTTTTTTATTTTTTTGACGGAGTTTCACTCTTGTTGCCCAGGCTGGAGTGTAATGGCATGATCTCGGCTCACTGCAACCTCTGCCTGCTGGGTTCAAGTGATTCTCTTGCCTCAGCCTTCCCAGTAGCTGGGATTACAAGCTTGCACCACCACGCTGATCTAATTTTTGTATTTTTAGTAGAGACGGGGTTTTGCCTGGGTTATGGGAATCTTAACCTTACAAGTTATTTTCAAAAGTGGTTATGACACTTTAACAGGCACCAATAGTGAATGAGATCTCATAACTCACATCCTCTCTAAAACTTGCTATTTTCAAACTTCTTACTATCTTCCAATACAGTGGGTGTAAAAATGGTATCTCTGATTTTATTTTGCATCATCAGAGTGTTAATCAGTTTAAAAGTCTCTTCATGTGCTTATTTACTATTCTTGTCTTATTTTATAAAATTCATTGGTTTATTTATTTTGCCCACTTTTTTCTGTTGGAATGTTTTTATCTAATTGATTTGTAAGAGATTTTTTGTACATCCCATATGAAATATTCATTAGTTTTATGTGTTGAAAGTGCATTTTCTTAGTTGTGGTTTTCGTTTTATATATAAAATATTTTGATAAGCAGAAATTATTAATATAGTAAAAATGTTTACCCTTTGTGTTTGATATGACATATATAATAAATATTTTCCCATTACATGGTCATAGTAATGTTCTCCTATATATTTTCTGAAACACTTTTGAATTTTCCTTTAAAAAATAAAGCCTTAATTCACTGGGAAATGACATGAATGTATGGTGTGAGGTAGGAATCTAATTTTGTATGTTTATATCTGCAACTATTTGTTGCAGTACAATTTGAGAAGGTCATTATTCGCTCTATAAGATGTGATGTGATCAATAATATTTCAGCAAGAATATCTGCAGTCATTGGGTCACATGGGACTTTTTTTATGTGTCCCCTGATGAGTTGACTCATTCCTGCATTGATACTACACTGTGAAATTATGTACCTTTGTAGTACATCTTGCTATCTGGAAATTTTCCCTTATGAGTTTCCTTCACGAAGGGTTTGGTGTTCCTTAGGATTTTGCTGTTTATTATATGTGTCAGATTCAGCCTTATATGCATTACATTCAGCCTGTTAAATTAGTAAAGAATTCTCCTGGGAAACTGATTGAGATTTCATTCAATTGAAAGTTCCATTTGGAGGAAACTGGACACCTTTACAACCCTGAGTCTTCCTTCTGCGTACTTGGTCTGCCTTTCCATTTATTTAGGTATTTTTCTTAGCATCTTTCCATGAGTTTTTATATTTTTCCATTGACAAAAATAACACAAAACATAACCTATCTAGAAATGAATCTAACAAGGGATGTGAAAGACCTCTATGCCCCTTTACTGTGGATCATCTATTCCATCAATAGACCCAGGTAACAAGTGCTCTGTTTTGTCATTATGTAGTTTTGCCTCTCCTAGAATTTCTTACAAATAGAATCACACATTACATAGTCTTTTGTGTTTCTCTCCTTTCACTTACCATAATGATCTTGAGATTTATCCATGTTATTCCATGTATTAATGTTTCATTCCCTTATACTACAAAGGAGTAATCTATAGGACTGACAGACCTCAATTTTTATGCATTCAAATTCATGCATTAGTGACAATTTAGATTGCTGCCAGGTTGTAGCTATTATATTGTTGGGTCATATGGTATGTTTGCACTTAACTTTATGGGAAACTGCCAAACTATTTTCCAAAGTAGCTATACCATTTTGCATTTCCACCATCAATTGTATAAGAGTCACATGCACATCATTTCTTCACTATCAGTTGGCAAAATCAGTCTATTAAACATTAGCCACTCTAGCAGGTGTGTAGTGGTATCTCACTGAGGTTTTAATTTGCATTTTGATGATACATAGTAATAATGAACATCTTCTCATGTGATTATGGGTGATTTGCAGGTTTTTTGCAAACTATCTTGAAAAATTTTGTCCACTTTTAATTTTTTTTTTTTTACAATTTATTACTGAGTCCTTTAAGCATTCTGGATATGAGTCTTTGTCTGAGATGTATTTTTTAAAATTCTTTACCAGGGTGTGGCTTTCCTTATTCTTTTCCCAATTAATTTTTTAAACACTGGGGCCTGTCAGGGGATGGGGGACTAGGGGAGGGATAGCATTAGGAAAAATACCTAATGTAGGTGATGGGTTGATGGGTGCAGCAAACCACCATGGCATGTGTATACCTATGTAACAAAACTGCACATTCTGCACATGTACCCCAGAACTTAAAGTATAATAATAAAAAAAAAAAATCTAAAGTGAATGAAATCTATTTTTTGTATTTTTCTTTTATGATTCATATTTTTAGTGTCCTGAGAAATTTTTGCCTACCTCAATGTCACAAAGATTTTATCTCATGTTTTCTTTTAGAATTCTAATAATTTTAGCTCTTTCATTTAGGGTCTACGATCAAATTTTAGTTATCTTTTAGACAGTATATGTAACAAGCAGCAACGTTCCTTTCTTTTCAGATACATAACTCGTTTGTTATTCCAGTACGTTGTTGAAAAGATTGTCTTTTTCCCACTGAATTACTTCAGCATTTTTTTTTGTCAAAAATGAATTGAAAATGTATGTGTAGATTTCTTTTTCTGGACTTTCTATCCCATTCCATTGATCTGTGTCTATTCTTATGCCAATGCCACACTGTGTTGATTACTGTAACTTTAGAGTAAGTCTTGAAATCAAGTAGTATAAGACCTCAAACTTTGTTTTACTTTTTCAAAATTGTGTTGGATAGTTTAGGTCCTTTGTATTTCAATATAAATTTTTTAATTATCTTGTTGATTTCATCAAACAAGTATTTGGGACTAGGATTGGTATTACATTGAATCTATAATTCAATCTAAGGAGAACAGCCATTTAAAAAATATTGCTTATTCCAATCCATGAACATAGTACATATCTCTAATTGTTTAGATCGTTCTTAGCTTCATTTTGGAATTTTAGTAGTTTTCATGTACAGATGTTGAATTTCTTTTTAATAATTTAATCCCAAAATTTCCCAATATTTTTTCATTGTAAATGGTATTACTGTTTAATTTCATTATTTGTTAGTTTGTAATTATAAAGTTAATTTTGTCTATTGATTTTGTGTCCTGCAACTTTACTCAATGCACTTTTTTGTTCTAGTTCACTTAAAAAATATACTTCTTAGGGTTTTAACATACACAATCATGTTATGCAAATAAGGACAGGTCTACTCCTTCCTTTCAAATCTGTGTACCTTTTATTTATTTTTTGGCTTTACTGCACTAACCAGGACCTTTATTACAATGCTAAATAAAATCAGCATTAGAACACATCTTTTCATTGTTCCCAATGTTAGGCAGAAAGCATTGAACTTTTCATCATTGAATATAACTTAGGTGTAATTTTTTTTTCATAAATGACCTTAATAAGTGAGGAAGTTCCCTTCTATTCTTAGGATGTTGAAAGATTTTATCATAAAACGCTGATTATTATAAAATGCCTTTTGTGCAGCTATTGCAATTATCTTATGAGGTTTCTCTTTTATTGTCATTAATACAGTGAGCTATGTTCATTGATTTTCAGATGTTAAACCAACTTTGCATTCCTAAGATAAACCCATTGGTCATGATATATTATCATGTTTTATATAGTATTGATTTTTTTTTTTTGAGACAGGGTCTTGCTCTGTTACCTAGGCTGAAGTGCAGTAGCATGATCATGGCTTACTGCATCCATGAACTCCTGGACCCAAGAAATCCTCCCAACTCAGCCTCCCAAGTAGCTGGGACCACAGGCACATGCCACCATGCCTGGCTAATTTTTTAAATTTCTGTAGAGATTAAGTCTCAGTTTGTTATTCAGGCTGGTTTCAGACCTCTGAGCTCAAGCAATTCTTCTGCCTCAGCCTCTCAAAGTGCTGGAATTAGAGGTGTGAGGCACCATGCCAGGCCTATTGTTGATTTTTATGTGTTAATATTTTGCCAGGCATTTTTGCCTCATGATCATGAAGGATATTGGTCTTAATTCTTTTTTTTCTTGTGATTTCTTTATCTGGTTTTAGAGTGAGAGTATTTCTGCTTCATAAAATAAGTTGGGAAGTGTTCCATTCTATTCTATTTTCTGAAAAAATTTATGTTGGGTTTTTATTATTTTTGCCTTAAATATTTGATAGAATTAATTAATGAAGCCAACTGGGCATGAAGTTTTCTTTGTGAGAAGGCTTTAAATTACAGATGCAAGTTCTTTAACCGAAATAGAGCTGCTTCAGTTTCCTATTTCTTCTTAGGTCGGTGTTGAAAATAGGAGTCATTTGATGATTTGTCCATGTCATCTAGCTTGTAAAATGTATTGGTATTGTAGGAGAGAAAAGATCTTTTCTCATTCACCATCAGGGTCTCATGGCTGAGGCACCTACAACAAAAGACACATCAACACGAGAAAAACATACACATTTATGTAACATAAGTTTTATGTGATATGGGAAACTTCAGACAGGAACATCCAAAGAAACAGGGAAACCTGTGTATTTTTATGCTTTGGTTTGATGAATGGTGGACATTTATGGAGAAGTATAATTGAAGAAAGGTGATGTGATCTAATGGTAATAAATGGGGAACTTAGCAAGGCCTGTTGGTTGACATTCTTCTTTGTGTCCCTGTGTCTTGTGAAATAAGGAAATTCCTTTCTTCTGAGTACAAGAATGACACTTCTAGAATGAAAGTCTTGTAACCTTCTTCAGAAGAAAGTCAGAGGATTCTTGCATGACCTGCTTTAGGGGAGAAGTGTGGAGGAAGGGCAGAGAGACCTTTGTTTCTGCTATTTCCTCCACTGCCAAGGTGCCATATTTTTTGGTAGTATATCCTGAACCCCATCAGTATAAATTTTGTTTTATTTTAAAAATAAATTATTTATTTAAAAATATTAATTTAAAAAATATGCATGCATTTTCTATTAATTAATAACATATTATCTTTTTAGTAAGATAACAGGTTATGCTTTAGTAGGATCGTGGCATCTGCATTTATCTCCCTACTTTATTTCCTGAATTGGTCATTTGTGTCTTCTTTTTTTCTTGACCAAACTGGATATTTACCAATTTTATTGACCTTTCAAAGAACAAGCTCTTGGCATTATCATGTGTATTATTTCTGTATTCTACTTCAGAAAGTTATTTTCTTTTCTTTGTTATTCCTTCCTTCTTTTTGCTTCACTTTTAATTTACTTCTTTTCTTCTAGCTTGTTAAGATGAAAGCCTAGGTCTTTGGTTTGATATTTTTTTTCCTTTCTAGTTAAACTATTAAAGCTAAAATTTTTCCTGTGTGTATAGCATTAGTGACGTCTCACAAATTTTGATATGCTCAATTACATTATTATTCAGTTCAAATTATTTCCAATTTTCCCTCAAATGTCTCATATGCCCAGTAGGTATTTTGAAATCTGTTAATTTCCAAATATTTAAAGTTTATCTGACCATCTTATTGTTATAGATTTTTAAAATTTAAATCCACTGGATCAAAGAATACTCTGTATATATTTCAGTCTTTTGAAACGTCATTTTTATGGATAATAATATAGTCTAACCTTTAAATATACCATATGCACATATAAGAAAACCATTTATATGGCTGGGTTTGGGTTTATCATTTGTTTGTTTGTTTTCTAAGTGTCTCCTCTGTCTTGTTTCTCTCTCATTATTTGGCTTTCATTTTATTGTTTAAATATCTTTAGAATTTTAATTTTCCTATTTTAGTTGCATTTCTTTGCATTAGCTTTTTTTGTGGTTGTCTTAGAAGTTATAATATATACCATTAAATTTTCAAAGTCCAGAAGCAGTTAATAATGTACCACTTCTTATTAACTATAGAAACCTGTTAAGCTTTCAGGTCCGTGTCCACTTCCACGCAATTATACTTGTTATGTGTATTACATCAACATAATTTACGTATTACAGAAGACAATGTTATAGTTTTAGTTTATGACACAACATGGTTTATAAAGAAATTAAAATTAAAAAGTCAAAAAGAAAAAAATGTCTTTTGCATTTATCCACAATTGGCCATTTCTGATGTGTTTTATTCTTTATCAAGATTTGAGTTTCCATTGTATATCATTTTCTTCCGTGATGAAATTCCCTTAGGATTTCTTTTTGTATGGGTCTGCTGGCAAAACACATTATTTTATATTTGTTTTATCTGAAAATGTCATTTAACCTTTATTCTTGAAGAATATTTTCTGTGAATATAGATTTCCAGTTTATAGGGTTTTTTGTTTTGTTTTTTGCCTTTCAGCATTTTGAAACTCTGTTCCACTCTCTTCTGGTCACCATGGTTTTTAATGAGAAGTCAACCATTAATTGAATTATTTCCCAGAGCGTATTATTTTTCTTTTGGTGCCTTTAAGATTTACGTGCTGCCTTTGGCTTTTGAAGCTGACTGTTATGTGCTTTTATTCTTTTGGTCTCTTTTTTCCTTCAACTTTTATTTTAAATTCTGGGGTACATGTGCAGGATGTGCAGGTTTGTTACATAGGTAAATCTGGTTTGCTGCACAGATCAACCTATCACCTAGGTATAAAGGTGGTTTGCTGCAGAGATCGACCCATCATCTAGGTATAAAGCCCAGCATCCATTAGCTATTCTTCCTGATGTTCTCCCTCCCCCAACGCCTCCCCTCAATAGGCCCCAGTGTGTGTTGTTCCCTGCAATGTGTCCATATGTTCTCACTGTTCACTTCCCACTTATAAGTGAGAACATGCGGTGTTTGGTTTTCTGTTCCTGTGTTAGTTTGCTGAGGATAATGGCTTTCAGCTCCATCCATGTCCCTGAAGAAAACATGATCTTGTTCCTTTTTGTGGCTGCATAGTATAGTATTCCATAGTGTATATGTACCATATTTTCTTGATCCAGTCTATCATTGATGGACATTAGGGTTGATTCCATGTCTTTGCTATTGCGAACAGTGCTGCAGTGAACATACATGTGTACATATCTTTATACTAGAAATATTTATATTCCTTCATGTGTATACCCAGTAATTGGACTGCAAGGTTAAATGGTATTTCTGCTTCTAGATCTTGAGGAATCGCCACACTGTCTTCCATAATGGTTGAACTAATTTACATTCCCACCAAGGTGTAAAAGTGCTACATTTTCTCTGCAACCTTGCCAACATCTGTTGTTTCTTGACTTTTTTTTTCAAGTTCTGGGATAACTGGCATGAGATGGTGTCTCATTATGGTTTTGATTTGCATTCCTCTAATGATGTGATGTGCTTTAGATTGAGCTGTTTTGTGTTTATTTTGTTTGATGTTCACTGAGCATCTTGTATTTGCCAAGGTATGTCTTTCATCACATTTTTAGCTGTTAATTTGACAAATTGTTTTTCTACTTCTTTATCCATTTTCTCTCCTAGAATTTTAATTACACATAAATTGGGCAGATGGATATCTCTTCACAGGCCTCTGACGCACTAAAAACAAATTTTCTCCCTGTTCATTTTGAATAATTTCCTTCTTTTTTTTCTTTTTCTTTTTTTTTTTCTTTTGAGACAGAGTCTCACTCTGACACCCTGGCTGAGTGCAGTGGTGTGATTTCTGCTCACTGCAGCCTCTGCCTCCCAGGTCCAAGCGATTCTCCTGCCTTAGCCTCCCATGTAGCTGGGACCACAGATATGTGCCACCACGCCCAGCTAATTTTCATATTTGTAGTAGAGACAGGGTTTCACTATGTTGGCCAGGCTGGTCTCAAACTCCTGATCTCAAGTGATCCACCTGCCTTGGCCTCCCAAAGTGCTGGGATTATAGGCATGAACCACCACTCCCAGCCTCACCTTGGATATTGATCTATCATTTAATCTTTCCTAAGTCATGGTAATTAAATTATCAAGTCTATCCAGTGAATTTTTTAATTTCAGAATTTTTATTGTTCTATTTATAAGTCCCCATTTGGTTCCTTTATGTTTTCTGCTGAGATTTTCTATTTCTCTGCTGAGATTTTCATTCATTGCAAAACAGGCTTATGTTAATTCGTTGAGGATAGTTATAATAGCTTTCAAAAAATCTTTGTCAGTTCCAGAAATCTGTTCCATTTCCAGGTCAAATGATTAGCTTTCTTTTATTTTGAGCATGTGTTCCACTTTCCTGGTTATTTGTATCTTAAGTAATTTTGGATTATATCCTAGACATTATGGATATTAATTTCTGGACATTCTGGGTTTTGATATTATCTCCCGATAAATGTGATTTCCTTTGTTCTAGCAGGCAATTTTCTTTGCTAGGCTTACACAGCCAAGTTTGTTTCTTGGGTAGCAGCTTTGTTGTTAGTGTTGTTAGTGAAGATGTTTAAGCTCTTTAGCTGACCTGCCTTGATTCCCTGCCACAGATATGATTCACAGGTCATTCAGCAATGTGGGAAGGCAGTGACTGGGGATCCCCTCTCTGGATTATTTCCTGACTTGCCCATTCTTCCTCTTGAAGCCTTCTCAAATCACCTGTCTTCTTCATTTCCAATGTTTCTGCCTTGGTTCTGATTGTCATCACCTTCACCATAGACTACTCCAGCAGCCTCCTAATGGGTCGCTCTCCTTATTTCCATTCTCTATGCAGACAAAGCCATATCTCTCTTTTAAAACTCCTTTTTATCCCTTTGGCAGAAACTATTTTAGTCAAGTTTCTTAGCCTGACATTTAAGGTCCTTCCGATTCTGGCCTTGGCCCCTCTTCCCATTTGAATGCCTATCACCCCAACAAAGCATCTGGAGCACCACCATGTCTCCCAATCCTCTGCACTCCCTCACACTGCTCCCTGCACCTGTAATGTCCTTCTCCCACTATGGCCGGGTAAGATCTTCCTGGGATCTGCATAAAGGCCAACTCCCTTGTACAGTTTTCATGCCTTTTCCAGGCAGAATTAATCTCTCTCTGCTTTCAGTCCATACTTCATTCATCCTATTTTATATTCATCACAGCATGATAGAGTTATTTGTTTGTAATAACTCTCTGTCTTCTGCACTAGAGTACATGATTCGCCAGAGAAGAGGCCACAGCTTCCTGATTTTCTATCTCTAATACCTAGCATAATGACTGGTACAAAGTTAGATGAAAAATATATGTATGAGGAATTGAGCCAATTAATACTATCATAAGTCTAAGTCACCAAATATCCACCTTACATACAAAACAATGACGAGAACCACTAGTGTAAGAGTAACTGCTCTAGAATGAGGAGGCCATGACAGAGGTGGAGTAAGGACGGAGGCGTAGGCATGGTGTTTCTTTTTTGTCAAATTATACCTTTTGTGCCTCTTTATGAGATTCAATTATCGTTATTTTATCCTTATAATTGCAAAGCAATAAGATGTTACATAGGGGAGTGTAGAGTGCATTTTAACGCTATATGGATAGGGAGATAAAGTTGAAAAGCCATGCTCAATGGGAGTTCTAAGAAACATACAATGTCAGATTCCTAGGAGAAAATTTCCAAAAGGAAAGCTTACAGCACCACCAATTGCTAGTTACTTTTCATGTGCAATATATCTAGTGCTTTGCATTTAAAATATGCCACTCATCTCATTTTCCTGTGTACCTATGCGATTCTTCAAGCTGAAAATATTACAGAAATGGAAAAAAATTGCATTGGTAGCTAGGACTAGGAAGATGATTCCTTTTTTGTTTTTTTTTTCAAACTGATATAACAATAACAAATTATTTTTTCTAACTCTCTCAACAATTAGATAAAATGCCAGTTATTTACTCATAGTATCATAGATCAGCTGATTTTATATGTTGTTTACTTTTGCTTGACAATAATGCATTTTTAAAAAGGCTTTTGAAGACCATGCGTATGTTAAAAATTTAAATAATGTTATGGCATCTTATGGTACTGTAGATTCATTAACAATTGAGCTAACAAATCTCATTACTAAGTGTAATTTATATATGCTGTTTGGTTTTGAAGAGTACATTAATCCCTGATTGTATAAATATCACAAAGAATCCCTACATAGTAATAGATTTTAATTTCTGAAACAAAGAGTATACACAATGAATGTAGTAAATTTAATTTTTCTCCTATCATCTTCTTTTAGTTTTAAATAACTAGCAATAGAAACAGTGTTCTATTATTTATTTTATTTCTATCTATAATTTACTTGTATTTATGTATGTTCTGATAACAAATAGCATACAACATACACATATCTTAAGACAGTCAACATCAATATTATGGTCATAAAATATTAATCTGTAATCTCCAGTATCCACACTGCAGTCTAGAAATACCATTTCCCACTAAATGAAACCCAGATTCTCTCTGTAAATGGCTAATTCCATGTCTGTGATAGGCAATATCTGAGCCCAAAGGTCAAAGTTTATTAGGACCATGTCAAAATGACTCAGAAGCCATCTTGGAGAGGCTCCCACTGGCCAAGAATAAAACAATTGGAGCATTGATAAAACTAATAACTGCAAAAGATTGAAGCTCATCGACTATGCATAAGTTCTTGAACTTAAAATGATACTTAAAAAACAAACAGATTTGGAGGTTTATTTACTATTCTTTCTACTTTAACATTTTCTATTAACATTTACAGTTCAAGAAGTTTTAAAAACATCATGCAGCTATAACGTAAATAAAGGTCTGTTGCACCTGTCTTTCATTTCATCCCTTTTGGGCTTCTGCAGTAATTTGTGTTTATAGAATTAATCTGATATTTCAGTTGCAGGCTATTAGTGATTGTGTTTTCACCATGTTTCTCCAATAATCACTGGGCCACAAGCTCCAATTCTGAAATTTTTCGCTGCAAAGTCAGGAGCTGGGAGCCTATGAACTCACAGCAGCCAAATGAAGGTCTTCAGTCCAGATGTAGATACACTGCCTCTCATGAAGAGTGATTTTTCCTTTGGCTCTTAAGCAATAAGGTGTGTATGGCAAGTTATAAGAAGAATCAAAAATGATTAGAAAGCTGACATTAATTCCTACTGCCAGTTTCTTTCAGGAAACATGAGTCAAATGCAAATATTTTAGTTGGACCATATTTATAATCTAGAACTGTACTGCTAATATGTAGCCTCTAGCCACATGTTTCCATTAATATTAAAATTAATTAAAATTAAATAACATTAAAAATTTAGCTCCTCATTTATACTAGACACATTTCAAGTTCTCAGTAACCACATATAGCTGGTGGGTACTGTGTTGGATGCTGTGGGTATAGAATATTTCCAATACTGTAGAAAGTTCTTTTGGACAGCACTATCTACGAGGTTATATTAAGTGATTATGTTTCATTTGGAATGTCTTAGTTTACACCACAGCCTATCTTTCACCTGGAAAAATCACCCTTCTCAGGCCATGGCTATGGAAGAGAACACCAAAGGTGGTGAGCAGACCTCCAGACCTTCCTCTTGCCAATAATGTCTTCAGTGTTAAAGATATTATCTTAAAGATAAAGAAGACAACCACTGTGGGACAAAATAGGAAATCTTTAAATAGTTAAAAACAAATTCCAGCATAACCCAAATGTCACAAGACCTTAAAAAAGAATGCAGGCTTATATTGTAGCAGGAGCCTCAGTAATCGTCATCAGAATCAATGGATTAAAAAGTAGGAGTTTGAATGCCATGGAAATGCCAAAGCCTCTTCTGGTTTTTAGGTTTTGTTAAAACTCATGATATTTTTAAAAAGTACGCAACATGATAACTACATCCTTTTCTTTGGGATTATGAGAACTGCACACAGCCCTTTAGCATATCAAGGAAATACTACACATAGAGACGGTGAGGAAATGTAAAAGAAATTATGTGCATTCTGCTTAAAGTAGATCAGTAACTCATTTGCATGAGAATATGCTTAGAAAAGGTAGGTGTTTCCAAAAAGAGAAATGATAGGTACAAGAAGCAAAACTCAAAAAAAAAAACACAACAAAACAACAAAACCAATAGACATTTTATGCATTAAAAAATATTTACAATGTACGGGATGCTCTGCTAGATATTTGGTATGGACCATGTGTTAGCCACGTTCTCTGACTTTAATGAAACTGATAATCATATGACAGTTACTGCATATTAGCTGTGGTAGCATTCCGTGTTAATCACAGCATTGTGCTCTCAGACATCATTCCAAGAAAATAAACAATTCCGTTAATGTTATTAGGAGCTAAGATTTTCTGTACAAGAGAAAAGAGACCCACATTTTTAATCATGGACATTCAGACCAGGTGCAGTGGTTCATGCCTATCATCCCAGCACTTTGGGAGGCCAAGGTAGGAGAATAGCTTGAGCCCAGGAGTTTGAGAGCCTGAAAAATTAGATGGGCAACATAGCCAGACTCCGTCTCTTCAAAAAAAATAATTTAAAAGTTAGCTGGGTATGGTGGTATTTGCCTGTAGTCCCAGATACTCAAGAGGCTGAAGTGGAAGGATTTCTTGAGCTCAGGAGTTTGAGGCTGCAATGAGCTATGATTGTGCCACCGCACTCCAGCTTGGGTAACAGAGTGAGACCCTGTCTTTAACAAACAAAAGGAAATTCAGTTAAAATTTAAAACTCTGTGATGTTGAATTTGCATCAGAAATATCAATAGGAACCAATGTTTCTTTATTGTTCAAAACTACACACTTGCTAGTTTTGTCCATGAAAACGGGCTAGAAGCATGATTATCCTAGACACCCAGATTTTTGTCTCTGAGTACCATTCTCCCCAAAATGAGCCAGGGATCCTTGAAAAAATGGATGTTTCCAGGTCTGAGGCACACAAAGTATATTATAAATCTAAAATATCTTACTGGCCAGAAAGCAAAGACCAGTGGGGGAGACAAGTGACTGATAAGGACACATCAATAAGACCATGGTAGATTGTAAATGGCTCCAATTCTTCACCCCACCCTTTTCCATCTAATTTTTCCGGGCCTTTTCTCATGACTCTAGGCTCAGACACAGGACTAGAATTGGGCAATGGAATATCAGTAAGTAGAAGCGGGCTGGTGCTTAAAAAGCTCTTACACAGTGGACTTGCTTTCTCTTGGGTTCTGCTATTGCCATGAGACAAACATGCCTGGTCTAGTGTCCTGGCCCAGGAGAAGGATCAAAGGCATGAAGAACAAACCGAGTTGCTCCAGTCATCCAAGAAGAGGCCACTCCAGATCAGCCAACATCCAGCTGGGTGTCTGGCCATGTGAGCACATCAGCCATGAGATACGTGGAGTTCCCTAACCACCACCTGCCAACAGCCAGGTTTGTGAAAAATGACTTATTCTATGTGTTCTGGAAGGTTGTTAGTTGTTTATTACACAGCACTCTGTGGCATTAGATAACTGACACAAGGACAGAATAACCCTCTGGAGGGGCTCTCCATGGTCAAAGTTAGGACAATCCAAACACCAAAAGAATAATGCTATCGGTGATGAAGACACAGTGAATACATTTTAGAAAGCACAAGTCAATAGTGATACTCACAAAACATTAAAGAAAACAAAACTATTTATTTTCCATAGCTGAACATAACTATGATATCAACTTCTTAATCTGAAAACTAATAATTAAAAACAGACAAGGATTCAGCTGCCTGCTTTGTTGGTACTTCAGGTACACCAAATAGCCTGTTTATGAAGGAGAGTTCCACCTTTCAGAAGACTGTCAACTCGTAAGTGTAGAAGAGGTGATTAATTCAGAACATCACCGCTTTGTAGCCCCTGTCGTAAAACTTGGTGCAGGTAAGGATCAATGATGGATGCTAACCTCATTTGGAGAAAAGTTAATGGGATATTATCCCACAGAAAATACGCCATTCTCAATGGGAAAAACATGTTTATAATAGAGAAATTTGGTGGTCACCTCTTTTGCCCATTAATCTCCCCTTCGAATCACCAATCATGGGACAAGTAGACATTATAGATAAACCTGTGAAACCACCTCACAAGAAAGCAATCAGTCAAGTGCGGAATGCAGGAGGGCCTACAATACAACTGGCCTAATCCAGGTGTATTGTGAAATAGCATATATCACAGAAAAAAGAGGAGCCATTCTACCATTAAGAGAAATGTAAAAGACATAATCAAGTACAATTATGATTTTTAATTTGATCCAGGCTTAAAGAAAACAAAAGCTACAGAAAATATTTTGAGACTGAATAAGGGAATTTGAATATGGCCTGGGAATGTAATGATATTTGGGGATTATGGTCGTTTTTGTCAGATACAATGATGTTCCTGTGGATGTATGGGAAGATACACTTTGGAGATGCATGTTTTAGTATTCAGGGATGAAAGAAAATGAGAGTATAATTTATGTTTACATATTTTCAGCAAAAAAAGAACTGATGGAGGACACAAAAATGGCCAAGGCATTGAAATTAATTGGCATTTGTACTGGTAATATAGGTGTTCACTGAAATATGTTTTCTACTTTTCTGTAGAGTACAGTATAGGGTAAGACTCCGTCTCAAAAAAAAGAAAAGAACGAGTTAGAAAGACCACAGTAATGTCTTCCTTCCCCCTTTCAAGAAAATATTTAAAATATTTCATAAAAAATGGAGCAGAAAATAAGACCACATAATCCCTGATTTCTAGAAACGTACAATAGGGTTGGAGCTCTTGTCCACAGTGCAGGCACCACTTGGGAATGACTCGGTCAGTGAGGAGCAGTGACTCAAAACAGCCTAGATGCTTCTCCCTGGATGATCAGGAAGGCGATCCCCGCCCCAGAGGTGGGTTTTGGGGGAACGTTGGGTGAGGGTAGAATTGAGAAAGACTAAACTGTGAGCAACTATTCTCGTGTTTAGGTAAAACAAGTACAGGAAGTGGGAGATACCGAAGGTGGGAAGCCAGAGGTGCACGTTCCCATAACACCCACTAATTGTACAGGTGAAGACAGTTCAGGGGGCTCCTGAGCAGACGCTGGGAAGCTCTACAGCGGGGCTGCAGTTTAGTACGTAGGATTAGGCCTGGAGGGAGGAGACAGAGTTCCAATTTTTTTTTCTCGTGTCTGGGTTTTCTGCTTTCTGGTTTACCTCACAAAAATTGTCAGAGGAAGGCAATGTGGGCTCCAAAGAGGTACAAAGGTTTCTTTCAAAAGAGCAAGTTTTCTAGTAATATTTCTTTCCATTCTAAATACAAACAGCATTCAGCGGCCCTGCCAGTAAGCGCTTAACCAAGGTGGTACAGCCTTGACATTTGTGAGACGTGCTCCCGAGACCTGGAGATTTCCCAGCTTCTCCAAGACCCTAAGTGAGATGTGAACATTAGAATTGCTGGCTGGTTAATGAGCTCCCTCTGGCTCAAGGGCCTCACGCAGGCCTCTTGATTCCAACTTACGCTGGCAACTTTAACATACGTGGCGGGATAACCTGACTGGGAGGTTCACTACACCTGATTTTCCTGCAGGATCTTGAGAATAAGAATGAGGCCAGGCGTGGTGGCTCACGCTTGTAATCCTAGCATTTTGGGAGGCCCAGGCGGGCGGATCATGAGATCAGGAGATTGAGATCATCCTGGCTAACGCGGTGAAACCCCGTCTCTACTAAACATACAACAACAACAACAAAAATTAGCCGGGCGTGGTGGCAGGTGCCTGTAGTCCCAGCTACCCGGGAAGCTGAAACAGGAGAGTGGCGTGAACCCGGGAGGTGGAGCTTGCAGTAGCCGAGATCGCGCCACTGCACTCCAGCCTGCGGGACAGAGCAAGACTCCGTCTCAAAGAAAAAAAAAAGAGTTAGAAAGACCACGTAATATTTTTCTTCCCCCTTTCAAGAATGCAACCAGGTACTGTATTTTGTAAGTCTGAGGTTATTAGGAGGCATTTGCTTTAGAAACCCTAAACCTTGGAAACAAAGGTGGAGAATTGTCTGGGGCTGAAATGGGTAAGCGTGTGTGGATAGACTGAGAGGAGGGTTATTACATTCTGTGGACTTCAAACTACGGTAAAATGATACCACAATATCTATTTTTACAACGTCAGTAATGACATTGATAAGTACTTTCGTACTTTCAAAAAAATAATCACAGCTTGGAAATTATTTGGGAAGTAGCTACATTTCAAAGATGACTTTAGTGGCTTTCAATTTCACTTAATTTTTAATCATAAGATCTGAGACTGCCCAATTTGCCTTTGATTAATGCATTGCCCAAATAGCTTTTAAAATCTTTTACATTTCCATTATTTTCTATTCAATTTTTATGTGCCTTAACAGAGTCCTGTTTAGACTTTTAAACAGCTTGATACACTGAAACCCCACTGAAACAACGAAGGCCCTCTTTCTGTATTTAATATTGTCAACCACCTGCTACATGGTTAAGGAAAAAAAAAAAAACAATTTATTTGTAGAATTAGGATTTGTTTTTGCAAATTATTTTTTCACTTGAACCTAACATAAAAGAAAATATAGAGTTAAGTAGGCTTTCAAATGTTGAGAGGGGTGAAGGTGAAATAAAGATCAGCAAAGAATAAAAATCCTTAAAAATTTATCCAGGAATGAATATCCTCAGAAATGTGTTATCAGCCAAGCCCTTTCCTGATAACGAACAAAAGGACTTCGCATATACACATTGTTAAGGATTCTTATGATTAGCTGTTATATAAATCTAAGATTTTTTGAAGGATCTCTAAAGGGATTATGATGATTCTATTATTTAAAAAACCTCACTTAGAGCAAATCAATAACAAGTATTACTGAAGGTGTCAAAAAAATTTAAGACTTTGAAATGGGCCGCCAGAAGATCACTGGCTATTTCTTCAGTAGAATACGAGGCATTGTCCGGTACATGCTACTTATATTAGGCATTATATGGGCACTTATATTTTGCGTTACTGATAATTTTGATGTCTGTTCCTATTGTCTCCGAGCTTTTTGTGACTCTGTAAGTTGTAGACACTGATGGAAATGTGAGGAGGTCTTACTAGACGCAAGTGAATTCTGGCTGGTGGAGATGCAATAGATTTTCCTGCCCCATCCCACTCCCATAGAAAACACTAGTTTTGCAGTAAATTCATTTCAGCATTTCCAATGGAGCCAAGCCTCCACCTTACCTTATCTATGCATCCCTGAGAAAAATCACCTCCTACTAGCAAAGACTAATGGATAGGCTGAGAGACAGAAACTTGACCAAAGATTACATCAACACAACGGTGACAAAAAGCTCCAGGCGTAAGGGACAGATTGTTGGAAAGAGCTTGGTCCAAAAATCTGGAAATTTGGCCTCTATTTTAGGCTTTGCCACAGACTGGCTATGCCAGAAGTATGCAGTGCAACCTCTAAAGCAGAGTCCTGAAAGGGATAGAGCATGATAGTCCCCTCTCCTCTTTCATATCTGCTAGCAGGAAGGCTTTTATGATGGCTGGAGCTAGAGCAGCCATTTTGTTCCTTTAGGTGATCTTGGAAGATAAAAGCAAAAGATGAAAATGGAAGATAAAAGCAAAATACAGTGTAGATTCCACCTCTGGACTTATATGTGGAAAATAAATAAATTTGAGAGACAAGTAAATTTCCATCTTTCTTAAACTAGTATTATTTTAATCTTTCTGCTGCTGAGAGCTGACTTTAATCTTAATAAAGAAATACAATCATACTCTGACTGTAACTTCTGGCTTTGGAATCAGGAGAATTTGGTTCTAATCCCATTGCAGCGTTTTTTGAGAGCAGTTACTTTACCTTGCAGTCTTTCATTTTCAGTAATAGAATACCTTATTTTTCTGAAAGGGTTACTGTGCTGATTAATTGAGATCAGCTATGTTTAGCATTTTGAAAGTAAGAAAATAAATAACATGTTTTATAAATATGAGATGCCACCTCCCCCAGCGGCACTCAGATCTCTGAAAGGGGAAAACCAACTACACCTTTTGACCACACATTCACCTATGATTTTATTTACAAAGGAAAAAACTGAATCATATTCCAGAAGAATTTTAGGTAGAATCTATGATAAAGCTTGTCTATACACAACTCTTGTCCTTCTGACTTAAAAGCAAACAAAATAATCCAAAATGCAAACAGCAGGAAGGCCAGTGTCTTATACAGAGAGAAGAAAAATCATTACATGGAACAATTCTGTCTACTCATTGGGTTGGAAAAACAGAGAAACCAATGATTAGAGGTTTCTTCACTCTCCCAGGAAAAGTAGGCAGGTCCTCTTAGAGGGAATCATCTACTCCTTCCGACTTGCCCATTTATGTCTGTGAGTGTCAAAGTGCCTGATGGCACAGTGGCTGTGGTGCACTGTTTCTTTCTGAGAAGATCTGGCATGTGTCACAAACGTGGGATGTCAAAGGCAGACGTCTCCTGGTAGCGTGTGTCTGCCTGTGTCCCTCTGCCTTAGGCAGAATGTGAGTCTGAATTTGGCTGGCTCCAGGGGGCTGTCTGTGCCACCAAGGACAGAGGGACAGAGGGACAGACTGCCTCCCAGCCTCCTCCAGCATAACATGCTGGAAGTTTACCAAGTGGCATCATTAGTATACATTCACTGTGTCTTATGACTCTGGCTCTGACTAGAGACTCTTTCCCTTCTGACTTTGACCCATAAAGACTTTGCCAGTATTATTAGAGAAAGTCTAGTCAATTAGAGAGGTAGAACCCATCATCTGAAAGCTGCAGGATAACCGGGTTATCACTCTAAGCTCCGAGTGGGTGGAGGTATCATCACACACTAGTCATTAATATATTGTAGTAAGTGGAAGTAAGAATGTCCTCGCATTTGTTTCCTGGTGAAATGAGAACCCGTGTCTGATGTAGTTCCCTAACCTGGAGTCCTAGGAAATTCCCATGCTTACTAGCTATTAACTGTGGAACCTCAGACAGGTTATATGGCTTTTCTGTGCCTTGATACTCCCATCTGAAAAAAAATGGGGATATTAATAATGTCAATTAATAACTTAAATGACATTAGAACCATATCTGGGTTCACCTATTAGGTCCTGCTAAGTATGAAGCGTCAGGACTACTAATGTTATTAGCAGAAACCAACCAGGGACAACTCCCAGACATCTGAGTAACTTAGGCCTTCCTGTGAAAATCCACAAGGCCTATGGGAATACTTTACCTGTAGGGCCTGATAAAAGTGTATCCTAGAGATCAAGTATGGCTACAGTCCTCCCATTTCACATACTTCCAATAAGACTGTGCAATTCATCATCTGGACTAGGACACTTGGCAGTGCAAGGGGCTGCTTTAATAATCACAGCAGGGCAAGTGCTGTCACCTGGGCATGGACACTGGTTTGTTCTCAAAGTCAGAGTCATTTTGCCAAAAAAATCGGCAAAACCAAATTTTTTCTATGTACCCAAAGCTTTAAAAATTCAAAATCCTGACTTAGTTTAATGGATATAAGTTTTACTTTAATGTATTTGGAACAAGTGTTTATCTAAGCTTGAATCATCAGGACTGTAAATCTGACAATTATATTCCATGCATGCCATCGACAAAGGTTCTAATTTAAGAAACAAAAAATCAACTCTCTCAAAAAAGAACAAATTGATCTGAATCATAATTTAACTAACACACAGTAAGACTCAGCTAATCTTTACGGGTTGTTCTTGTAGTCATCCACAAAAATCAATGAATGGCATATCAGGTCTTCTGCGGTACAAGACATTGTTTTTACGAGTGAAGGAGCATTCATTTTAATGGTACACATCTCAGTCAAAGGCATCGTAGCAATCTTCAGTCAGTAATGAGTTCTGTCCTGTTAGCTGATGGGAATGTTCAGCTCAATTTATAGCTATCGGTGGAGCCGGTAAAGGTCATCACTGCATCTCATTTATTAGAGCTGCCTCTCCGAATGGTGGAGGTGTAGGGTAAACGATGTTGAAAATTGTAACTTGCAGTGCGATATCTGTTTACTCCATTAGGAAATGGATTTCTTAAGTGCCCAAGTTCTGTTGGTTTCATTTTTTCTCGTTTTTGTTTTGCTTTTGCTTTCCGGACACAACACCGCTGTCATTTCCATGTGATCTCCATGAGAGCGCTGCTGTGTATTTAAAAGGCAACATATTTCTTTCCCTACTTTCAACACCACAGAATTACAAAGTAAATTTTCTTCCCTTAAACAATGTCATGATACTTTATTTATGCTAGGAACTAAACAATGTCAACTAGATCAACATTAGTAACTCTCATACAAGTACAGAAACAACTGCGTGTGAATACTCACATACACAGGCCTACCTCACTAATGCCAAAGTATCTGACTTTATGAACCATGAGTTCACCTTCCACACCCTGTCCTAGGTTTGCTTATTCAACTCCATTCATTCATTCAAGATTTTTGTCATCCTCTGTGCAGACACCGTGCTGGGTGCTCAACTCTCACCCTGTGGAGAAGCTCATCTGTAGGATCTTCTCCTTCTCCAAGCAGAATCGCTGGACACACCTGCCCCAGACTCAAGGAAAATGCTGCAATGAGTGTTACAACTGGGATCTGATTTTGTTCCTTTCCCTTGAATGGAATCACACTATTATTCCAACCTAGAACACCAAATAAATACTGACTGTGGGGGTGCCTCCTACATGTCCAGTCCTGCCAGGGGAGCTACAGAGGCAAGTGATGACCTTGGTCCACACTCAGCACTTTCTTCACCATCTCCCAGCCCTTGGATCATGTTTTTCCTTCCCCATGTGTCATTCTGCTTTCATGGGAGGGACTGTGTCATGCTACATTTTGGTGTGCTTTCATATAGCAAACACATAATGAGGATTTCAAAATAAAAAAAGATAACAGAAAAGACTGGAAGCCTGGGAGTGAAATCAGAAAATTCGAGATGGCATTCAGCTGCTGTGTGCTATTCTGGTGCCTTGGTCCGTGTTGCCAAGGCAAAACACACACAAGTGCTAGAATAAACTACCCCACAGAGACATCCAAGCCCTGAGTCCTTTCAGTGAGGCCATTGATCACTGTTCAGAAAGAAGAGCAGATTTTGTAAGTTTGACCATTTGATTTCTGCTTATGCTTCTATTCCACGTAATTGAACCATAAGCAAATAAATATTTTCATTTTATTATTTTTGAAATTCATGCACCTTACATTTCTCATCCCAGTCCTGAGTCTTATGTCCTCACTCCATGTGTTAAATCAGAGGATAGAGTCCTACTCAAGTGAATAAATATTATAATTGTGCTTCCCAGATAGATTTGCCTGGTTGTTTTCCTCTTTCGTAGGAATCAGCCATGGTGTGTATAATATATGTCTTTCATGATTATACGTCACATTTTCTTGAGTCAGTGCATGTGAGAAATTTCTCCTGGGAGACTGCAGATGCCTCCCCTGGGGCTCAGCTCTCATTCTCCTTTCAGTAGCACGGTTCCTCAGCGCCTTCCTGCGTGGCTAAGCATGGTCTCCTGACATTCCCAGTCCTTTGCGCTCCCTGCATCTTGGAATGCTGCACCTCTCTTTTTATGTTTCTGTCTGGACCAAAAAAAAAAAAAGCAGAGTTCGGAGTAGGTATTGAGGAAGTCCTTCTGGTCATCTGGGAAAGCAGGAAAACACCCTTCCAGGAAGTCAGGCTATGGAGCAGTTTTGTGAAGTTACATTAAACAGAGCTGGTGCCGCAAGAGTCTGGCCCCAGGAAAGACCTTGAAGACTCTGTCAAGTTCACTGGACTATCCCCAGACCTGAGGAAGAGTGATTATTTGTAGGAAAAAGAGAGAAAAGAAATCAGAAAAGGTAGTAGGTGTAATGTATACCATGGATCGAATTTGGCAAAATTTACTGAGCTCTGAAGACCTTTTCAATGAATAGATTGTATTTTCGTTCTCACTGTTTAGGCACAGACACTCCCACACAACAAAATTGATGATGGTTTTTCCTATTCCTGCAGTGATCATCTGGGCCTCCGTGCACTGTGGGAACTTAGAGCTGGAAGAGACTTGGGGTTGTCTTCACATGCAAGCTTATTCATTTTACTCATAAAGAAACAGGCCAGGCGCAATAGCTCACGTCTGTAATCCCAGCACTTTGGGAGGCCGACGAGGGCGGATCAGGTCAGGATTTCGAGACCATCCTGGCTAACACGGTGAAACACCCTGTCTTTACCAAAAACACAAAAAATTAGCCAAGCATGGTAGCACGTGCCTGTAGTCCCAGCTACTCAGGAGGCTGAGGGAGGAGAAGTGCTTGAACCCAGGAGACAGAGGTTGCAGTGAGCCGAGAGCGCACCACTGCACTCCAGCCTGGGAGACAGGAAGGAAGGGGAAGGGAAAAAAGTAGGAAGGAAGGAAGGAAGGAAGGTAGGAAGGAACTCAGAAACAGTAAATGCCCAATGTCAGGAATCTAGTCCATGGCCCAGAACTAGGTCCTCTGGCCTCTCATGCACGGTGGACCCTGATTGTTGTAGAAAGCACACCAGGGAGGACAGGACAATTATTCCATGAGGAAGGAAACAATCTGCTTCTCCAATCACATGGTATTCCAGAGAATGGTGGCTGACCTTTTGAAGTGCCACGCCAGAGTCCCCAAATGCAAATTTTATGACAGGCCATTCAAAACAGACTTTGTAAGCCAGGTAAACTCTCCAGCCACTTCCACAGAATGTAGTAACAGACTCTCACACAGAAATAACTCTATTTCCATTGAAGAGAGACAAGTGTATATTGCTTGTTCTTTTGTACATTAAGCATTTTAAGGCCTAATTTCTTGAGTGTCAAAATGGCATTGAAATGACTTTGTCTTCTTGGCTCATCCACTATTTGGGATGGTTTCTGGAAATATTAAGAGCTTCTTATAAATGTTATGACAGTTCCTCAAGATTAAACATAGAATTACCACTTGATCCAGCAATTCCACTGCTAGGCATAGACTTAAAAGAAGTGAAAACAGAGACTCGAACAGATATTTGTACACTCATGTGCATAGCAGCATCATTTACAATGGCCAAAAAGTAGGCGCCATCCAAGATTCTATTGACAGATAAATGGGTAAACAAAATGTTGTCTGTCTATATAATGGAATATCATCCAGCTTTAAAAGAGAAGGAAGTTCTGTCACAGGCTACAACATGGATGAACCCGTAAGACATTATGATAAGTGAAATAAGCCAGTCACAAAAGGACAAATACTGCGTGATTCCACTGACATGAGGTCCCCAGGGTAGTCAAATTCACAGAGACAGGAAGTAGAATGGTGGGTGCAGGGGCTGGGGGAATGGGGAGTTAGTTTTAATAGGGACAGAGTTTCAGTTTGGAAAGTAGGAAGGATCTGGAGATGGATGGAGGAGATGGGTGCATAGCGATGTGAATGTACCACTAAAGTATATACTTTTACATGGTTAAAATGGTGGATTTTATATTATATATTTAACAGCAATTGAAAAAAAAGAATTCCTGAGAAAGAAAAATGGGTTTGATGGAAAGTATGAGAAGGAGAGGGTCTGAATTAGCGTCTAGCTGTATTTCTAACCCATTTATTTTTTTCTTTTTGAGAGGGAGTCTTGCTCTGTTGGCCAGACTGGAGTGCAGTGGTGCTATCTTGGCTCACCACAACCTCTGCCTCCCGGGTTCAAGGGATTTTCCTGCCTCAGCCTCCCAAGCAGCTAGGATTACAGGTACCCACCACCATGCCTGCCTAATTGTTTTGGAATTTTAGTAGAGACAGGGTTTCACCATGTTGATCAGGCTGGCCTTGAACTCCTGACCTCAGGTAATCCACTACCTCGGCCTCCCAAAGTGATAGGATTACAGGCATAAGCCACCGTGCCCAGCCCTCTAACCCTTCTTAATTTCATTCAGACCCAAAGTTTATGGCTTTGGAAATCACAGCTTTAGAAATAAAAATCAGCATGAAAGAAATTAGTTGTGGCTAATTTAAGAAAGATGTATGGGTTTGAGTAGGTGTTTATTTCATCTCTCCCCTCAGTGGCATATTCAGAAGTGCTGCTGGGTGGCACGTGCCCAGGGTTGGACAGTTGTTCCTAGGATGACTCTAACGTCTGGTGGGAAGGAAACTGTCCTCATACAAAGCTATCTTGCTGTGTTGACATACAAGGCCCAGACCCCACTGGGAGCTTGTGGTGGAATCAGTGCAGGGCTTTGGGTGGTGTGAAAATTTTCCCATGTTTCCCAGGGTGGACATCTCTAATGGATGATCAGAGCTGATGAAAAGGCAGAGCTGAGTCCTTGCTTCACCCCTAGAGTTCCTGCTTTGGGTCAATCCACACTTACATTCCCCCATGAAGGAGGGATGTAGGGTGCGAGATTGTTATCCACTTATCCAAAATCTTCTTGTTAGTCTCAACATTTGTCCCACACCAATAAAAGATTAATTGGGCACATTAAAAAACAAACCAACAAAAACTCAACTCTAATTCCAAGAGGAAAGTTTGGGGCAATTAGCTTTTCTGGTAAAGCCTCCTCTAGCTACATTTGAGTGACTACCCACAGTAATGCAGATGTCTGGGACTGTGAGGTTGGTGGGAGTTCTGTTGGACATTCGTTATTCACAAAAAGCAGTGGTTTCAGGTTGACTAAAATTAGGTAGGATGGAATAGAAGATATGGAAAATCATTCCATTCCCAGCAAAAATGGCCCTATAAGTCATTTATGAAGAAATTCTATAATTGAGTAGACTTAAGGGCTTCAGGATAAAGAGAAGGAAGAAGAAAATAATGAAAGAACTAGTGTATTTGGGGTGTCACACTTTTAGATTACTGGAAGGATGCTCTAAAGACCTTTTCAATAGAATAGATTGTATTTTTATTCTCATTGCTTAGGCACAGTCCCTCCCAGACCACAAAATTGAAGATGGTTTTTCCTGTTCCTGCAGGTAAGAAAGCCATCGTCTAGTCTATGGTCTCCCACAGTTGTCCCTAGAGTATGTCCCCTTGAGTCTAGTCTAATGACTGAATTCTCAATCTAGAACTATTTTTGTCCTCAAAAAATTTATTATCAATCAAGGGATGAAAATTTATTCATCTACAGCTCTGGAAACCACAAGAGGTCCAGCATGAAGTCATCCTTCTCAGTAAGAACTTGCCATCCCTAAGATGATGATTTCACTCCCTTCCCATTACACATGATTTCCACTTTGTAGTGTGTGATTTGAGATTTTATTTATGGGACCTATTGATCGGGCACAAAAGGTCTGATAGTTCTCATCGCCTTCATTATCCTCCCCATCGAAGACATCCCTCTTCCACAAATGAGAATAACTCATTGCAATGTAAATGAGGATTAAGTCATTATTTTTAACTTGCCATTCTCTTTTCTTCACCCATGAGCAAAGGGCTTTAACAGTCAAAGCTTTAGTGATGTGTCATTATGCCTGGAAGCTACCAAGTGTGAAGGAAAAATTACCATTAGAATTATCAATGATACTGTCATGAAAAATAATACAGCGTGCTTCAAAGTGCTTTATATAACATTACACGTAGAAGCACATGGGGGCACTTTGGTTCACCAGGAATAGAGAAAAATAATCATTTCTGTGACAGGATTATCTGAAAGCCATTATATACGTCATTATGCTTTTATAAAGAAACTGTTTAAGAGGTTTAAAGCTTTTCCGATTAGCTGGGCAATCAAAATTGAAACACAATTACATCTAAAAGTATATACAAGTTAGAAGAAAAATGAATAATGTTTATGAATTGAGTGCCATGATTTTAGAGGAAAACATAGCCTTCTGTCAATGACCTCAATGACTTTTATTTAATCTTTATCATTAGTTACTAGACCAATTTTATGTAAGTAGGCTTCAGGTCCATAAAGAATCAAGGAACTGATTATGTGATAGTTTATGGCAAATGTTAGTCCAGCACACATCTAGAAAACTGTGCTTCACTCGTAACTTAAATGTTTTAACAAATTCTATTAGGATCATTTACAGCATGATAAAAAGTATATCACCAACTAATGTTTGAATAAATCCATTTCATTTGAAAGTATAAAAGCTGTTAAGATAACACTATGGTAAGATCATAATTGATTCTCTAGAAATAAGTTAGGAAAATGGAGTATTTGTATGGCTTACAATTAGGTGTTACCAGGATGCAAACCGCTTTACAGGACATACTTGTATTTATTAAATGGCTCTAGAATTTTGCCAGTTATGAACTAGTCCTATAGATTTACCTTTTTTGACAACTAAAACAATCATCTCTTTTTCCCAGTCTTTCAGCTGCTTTCTCATTTGCTTGCAAATTTCTACAGATTATTTACAATGGTTCTGTAATTTCATTGACAAGTCAACTAGTACGCCTTAGGAATAAAGTGTTACTACTAAATAAAATATCACCAATGCAAAAAAACATTTCTTTACCTGCGCTGAATTCTCAAACACATGGCGTGGGCTTTCACCTTGCCCCCAGAGCCAGAGAGAGGGTTTTTCAAACTGGTGTTCATCCTGTCTACAGGCATGACTAAGAATAAGTTACTTAACCTCTCTGAATGGGTGATAATGATATTACCTACTTCACTGGGTTACTGAGCAATTAAAAGAGATAATGCATGCTAGATGTTTTGTCCTAGTACCTTAAACCTAGTTATTTTTATGTTATCCCATCTCAAATTTACTTTAGATTGAGGTGAATCTCCCTGAGCAGCTCGGTGTTCTCACTATTTCCTGAACAATCTTCCCTCCCTTCCTAAGAAAGTGATATCGAATTTTCCTTTTCAATTTTGAAAAATACATTCCTTACTGGAGAACATGCAAGAATATTTACTGCATGGTTATCCTGCATACCTCCTCCACGCCAGGGTCTATCTTTTCCTTGCTCTCTCTCTCTCTGTGTGTGTGTGTGTGTGTGTGTGTGTGTGTGTGTGCATGTGTGTGTGTATGTGTAAGAGAGTCATAGAGAGAGAGAGAGAGAGCACGAGAGTGAGAGCAAGAGCAAGCACATGCTTTATCAAGATATAATTCACATACAAATAAATTCACCCAGTTAGGTATATAATTTAGTGGTTTTTAGTGTATTCAGAGTTGTTCAACCTCCTTACCCTCTTACTTGCTCCAATATTACCTGGCAGTTCTGTTCAATGCCCTTTACACTATTTTTTTTTTTTTTGAGACACCTGGGCTGTCACCTGGGCTGGAGTGCAATGGCGTGATCTCAGCTCATTGTAACCTCCACCTCCCAGGTTCAAGCGATTCTCCTGCTTCATCCTCCCAAGTCGCTGGGATTACAGGCACCTGCTATCACACCCGGCTAATTTTTTGTATTTTTAATAGAGATGGGGTTTCACTATGTTGGCCAGGCTGGTCTTGAACTCCTGACCTCATGATCCACCTGCCTCAGCCTCCCAAGGTGCTGGGATTACAGGCATGAGCCACCGTGCCTGGTCCCTTTACACTTCTTACAAGCTTTACATCATCTTGGATCTTGGTCATCTTGGCATGATTTTTAAGTTCTGAGGTTAGCTCCATTTGTATATACATTTTTCTTAAAGTCAAGATCATCAGAAAGCTGTCCAGACTAGTACACTGGTTGCTGGAGATGCTTGTTCTATTTCTTCCTCATTAGTATTTCTCATGGTTGAGTGGTCAGAACTTGGTTTCTAAGGACCTGCCATGAGTGTTGCACAGTCTTTCATCTGGGTAGGCCAGTATCTTATTAACAATAATGCATATATTACCTTTCATTTTTAACAGCTTCATTGAGATAGAATTCGCACCATACAATTCATCAATTTAAAGTGCACAATTTAATGGTCTTTAACGTATTCACAGACATGTGCACCCACCATCATAATTAATTTTAGAATATTCTCAGAATCTCAAAAAGGAATCCCTTAACTTTGATCTATCACTTTCTTTGCCCCCATGCCCCTCACCCCCATTCTAAGCAACCACTATCCCATTTTCTGTCTGTATAGAGTTCTCTGCTCTGAATAGTTCATATAAAAGGAATCATGTATATTGTAGTCATTTGTGACTGTCTTACAGTTTTCAAACTTAATCAGTACGTAGCATGTAGCAGGAATCAGTATTTTATTGCTTTTTATGGCCAAATAATGTTCCATTACACAAATGTACATTTGGGTTGTTTGCACTTTTTGGCTATTATGAATATTATTACAAACATTAGTGTAATTAGTTGTATATGGTTATATGTTTTCATTTTTCTTGGGTATATAGCTGGGAATGAAATTGTTGGGTCAAAGGATAACTCTATGTTTATTTGTCTGGGAAAATGCCCAGCTATTTTCCAAAGTGGTTACACCATTTTCCATTACCACCAGCAGGACGTGAAGGTTCTGTTTTTTCCAAATTCTCACCAACACTTGTTATCTGACTTTTTACTGTAGCCATTCTAGGAAGAGGGGAGTAGTGTCTCATTGTGCTTTTGATTTGCATTTTCCTGCTGAACGATGACGTCAAATATCTTTTCATGTACATATTGCTATTTGTAAATCTTTCTTGGAGATATGTCTCCTCAGATTTTGTGCCCATTTTTAAATTGGAATAATTGTCTTTTTATTATTGGGTTTAAGCATTCTTATATAGTCTGGATATAAGTTCCTCAACAGGTAAATTATTTGTAAATATTTTCTCCCACTTGATAGATTGCCTTTTCCCTTTCTTCATGGTATCCTTTGAAACACAAAAGCTTTTAATTTTGATAAACTTCAGTTTATCTATTTTTTCTTTTGTTGTTTTTGCTTTTTGTACTATATCTAAGAATCTTGCCAAATCCAAAGTTATAAAGCTTTATCCCTCTGTTTTCTCCTAAAAATTATTTAGTTTTAGCTCTTACATTTAGGTTTTTGATCCATTTTGAGTTAATTTTTATCTATGGTGTGAGGTAAGGGTCCAACTTCATTATTTTGCACATGGCTGTCTAATTGTCCAGAATTATTTGTAAAAAAAGATATTAACATTCATTTTTATGCCACATTACCAGATTATAAGCATTTTCACATGCATTATTATATTATACAACTTTACTCCATAACATAGAAAATCTATGCTATTTTCTCTTCTCTAAAGCTGATAAGCTTGGAAAGTCTAATTAGTGCCTTTTCTTTCTTAGCCTTCAACCAGACTACATTTTCCAAATTCCTCTGAGGTTAGTTGGGGACTGTGTGCCTGAATTCTAGCACAAGTGGAGGCAGAAGTGACATGCACTGGTTCTACATTTGGTCTTTTTCCTCCTAGGCACTCAACTAGGCTACATTTCCCCTGCTCTCTGGCAGTTAGATGGGGTCAAGTGACTGACTGTGAATTAATGGGAAATATATGCAGAAGAGATGCATACCTCTTTCATGCCCAGCCCCTGAAAACTTCCTGTGACAGCCTCACCATTCTCTTCTTGAGTCTGCCATCAAGATACAGAGTATCCGATGGAGGAATTTGAGCCCTTATAGATACCACAGTCACCAGCTGGAGGGAACCCCAGTCCCTGAAGGACTCCATGGAGGAACCCCCACCTCCAGGCTCATCCTCATTAATTGCAACGTGAGAAAGAAATAAAACTATCCAAATTAGTGTAGTGTCTGGGCAGAGATGGAGAATCCAGGTATAAGATAACAAGATGGAACTGCATAGGAGACAGGAGTTCACTAAAGGGGGGCTATCTTGGAGCAGTATCCCAAGCTGGAAGGCAAGAGTTCGAGTTGCTTTTCATAGAGCCAAGCCCTGGATAGGGAAGGAACAGAGGGAAATAGACGCTATATATAGTTGAGACAGTTTAACTGTTCTTTGCTTACAAAGCAAATAATACATAGCAGAGTTGGGGCTAGAACATCTTTTCTCAAATTTCTAATCGGAGACTCTTTCAATTAAGTTGAATGGGGGAGAGAGATTAATAATAAGTTCTTCCTCCAAGATCTGAAAAACTGTCACTTCCCCAAAATATTAGATTGATTCTGAGTTGCTCCAAAAGGAATAATTGAACCCAAGCATAGAACATTCTGGGGACAAATTTTATCTTAATATTATAGAGCCATGTAACAATCATCACTGGCTTCCTCACTAAGAGCACTGAACTATTATTACTTGATCGATACATTCAGACACAGATTGGCTGACCACAGGCCAGGGGTTGCTGAGAGATTTCTTTATTGGGTGGATGATTGGTGAGATGACATCAAACCCTCTCCAGTCCTGCTCTTGCCTGCTGCTTCCTCACATAACTGACTTATGTTCACATCAAAGCCCTGGTTTGGAATGTCCTGCTAATTTATGCCCATGCATTCCTTTAACATCTGATTTTCAAATCACCTCTCCAAAGTCTTCAAAGACTAACCCTTCTCTGTATTTTCCATCTCACTTTGACTTAAAACTTATTATGGTTTCTTACTGGGGCATATCAGGGCGGGGAGCAAGGGGAGGGAGAGCATTAGGACAAATGCCTAATGCATGCAGGGCTTAAAACATAGATGACGGGTTGATGGGTGCAGCAAACCACTATGGCACATGTAAACCTATGTAACAAACATGCACATTCTGCACATTTATCCCAGAACTTAAAGTAAAAAAAAAAATTATGGTTTCTTAAAACTCTTTATTTGATTATGCTTTCTAAATATTGTCTACTTGCACTAATGTTCATTTCTTCAAAACTTCTCTGTCATTCCACAAGTATCAAGAGCCTTCCATCACTCAACTTAAAGTGCTTTTTATTATGAAGGGCATACAGTTGCTGCTTAACACACTCAATGGCCATCAAAGAAAAAATGCCTCAGGAGATTGACTAATATACTTTGTTCACTTGGAAACCAATTTATCTATCTGCTGGAGGCTTTGGCAAACTCACAGTGACCCAGGGCTAGAAAAGTATGATGTGAAATTTCCAGGCTCTCGGAAAACTTTCTAGGGGAATTATTCCCAACAGTGTTAATCTATTGCTACTAGAAAGGGAAAATGTGTATGTATGCATTCATCATCCTCCTAACTGAAAGTGCAGAAAGAAATGTTTGATAGCGCTTCTCTGTAGTTATCCCCTGATCACACTAAGCAGCTTCTAAAAGGTGGGGAGAGAAGCACCTGACTTTTGCTATCATAAATATAGATCTTAATTTTAAGAGAGAAAGGAGAAATCATGTTTTTCTCTTTCAGATAATATGGGTCATCATCTTTTTACGCCTTTAGCATTATATCCATGAAAGAATGAAGAAGTTGCTTTAAAATTGGTTATTTGGAGGAACTTAATGAAACACTGAGTATCACATTAATTTGATACTAAATAAGCCAAACAAGACAGCACTCATTTTATTATAAAGAGGATGTTCCTTCTCAAAGCATTAGCCATTTGAATAATGCAGAGTAAATATGCCAATGTGATTCTTTTTAAGATAGTTGTATTATTATGAAATATACCATTAAACACAAAAAAATCTCAGGAATGTGGGTTTCTATATATTCAATAGTCACCCTCTAAAGACACATTTCTCCTGGTAGCACAAAAAATTGTGAAACTTAAAAAATCTTTACTGAAAATTCTTGAGAGCATTGAAAGGGATAAGAATATCATCCAATATCAACTGTGTCAGAGTTCAGGCCATTCTGAACACAACAAAAACTGAGAAAAAAAAAACTGTGTGTAAAATCCTACAAAAAAAGGAGCTACATCCAAATAGCAGAGTTAAGATCTCCAAAAATCTCTTCCAGAAAAGCAATGAGATTGCAAACATTGTCAAAATCAACTTTTTCAAATCTTGGCAATTAAACAATGACTTCCAACAGTCTTAAATAAGTATCTCTAAGTCTATACTGATATTAATAAATGATTCAATAAATAAATAATAAATACATAATTTATAGATAAATAAATATAAATAAATGGGGGAGAGTAGACAAATCTTCCATATGGAAGAATTCCAGGTAATTTCTACAGATACCCTGCTCTCAAGAAGAAAGAGCATTGCCTTCCACTCCAAGTGAGGGCTATGCATAGTGACTTCCTTCCAAAGAGCACAGTATAGAAAGAGGGGTAAAAAAATGTAGTTACAGTAGAGAAAATGACAAGTACGACTTTAGCCAGGTGATCAAGGTCAACACCAATGGCCATAAATCATGTTGATAGCCTGTTCCTTAGATATGTGATGAGAAAGGCATTTTACTTCTGTAGTCTTCCTCCCAAAGCCCTATAAACCCAGTCTACTTAGGAGGGAAAATGAAACAAAACAAAACAGAAATGATGCAATTGAAGAATATTCTATAAAAGACGTGACCCATGTTCCTCAAGTACCCTTTTGTCAAGGTCACCCAAATCAAGAAACAGGAACTTCTGCGAAGCTGTCACAGCAAGAGGAACTGAAAGAGATGCACTGCGGTGTCCCGGATGGGATCCTTGGGAGATAAAGGGGACATTAGGTGAAAGCTAAGAAAATCTGAATTAAGCATAAATTTTGTCTAACAGTGATGCATTATATCAATACTATTAATTCATTGTGTCAAACGTTGCATAATATATAAGATGATAATAATAGGGGAAAATGGGTTTGGGGCATGTGGAAACTTTCTGTACTACCTTTGCAACTTTGCTATATATGTAAATCTATTCTAAAACATAAAAAGTTTATTTTAAAAAGTCTTTCAGAATAAAATTAAGCCAAGGATTAGTATGGGCTGAGAGGTCTGTGCCAGACTACAGGGGATCCTGCCAGCTCTGGAATCCCAGGAATCTGAGTTGGAAGTCTCTGAAGAGACTACAGTATTTAGACTTTCCAGATGCTGCTGTCCAGAACACAAGTGTAAATCATACATTCCAGGTAGTCAAGAGACAGTCTCCTAGTTCTGATTCTGCAATTACAAAATGGAATAGTTTTTGTCAGCTTAATTCACTAAACATTTATGATCCTTACTTTCCTAAACTGCAAAATCTCTTTCAACATGGTAACTTTGACTGCATGGACCCAGATATGCATATATTAGGTAATGCATGATTGAGGATTTAAAACCACAAACGACAAGTTTCAAAAACATGTAATTTTAATAGCATTCCACAGCAAAAAAAAAAAACACCCTGATACTGTATATTTTCCATTACCGTTTTGTCTTTTTAACCAAAAACTGCCTAAATTTGTAAAAGATAAACTTGGATATTTTTAGTTAAGAAAGGCTATTTTGAGAGGCAGTATTTAATTTGCATTTTGAGGAATATGGTATTGAGCTTTTGGGTTGTAATGATCTGTTGGACAAGAAAAGAAGAATGAGACAGGAGTAATTTTTCATAAAAATTAGGTCCCATACGTTGATCCTTGAGTTATCTATTCTTGTACTCACATCTCTTTTAAATCATACCTAACTACAGTTTAAAAATAATTATTGAGGCTCTTGGCTTTGGCAGAAAGCAGTGCTCTTGCTCAAATGATCATACGTCACATCGCTAATGTTATTATAAATGACAGGCAGCTAAATTTACACTCACGATAAGATTATATATTAATAAGTGATTTAATAGGTCGGTGATCAAGAAATCATACACCTAGTTAACAAGCCAGACAGTAACTGTCTTCATGCTTATTTGCTACACATGTACAATATACACATCTGCCACAAGATAATACATCTCTTTAAATGCCAGCCTCGCCATCAATTCTCCAGCTAGCTAAAAATAGCACCTGTTATTGCAATTTAAAAGTGTATCCTTAGCCACTAGAGGGCACTGTTTCATAAAATGCTCTAAACACTATTAAGGCTGTTAAGAAAACTAATTAAAAATAATAGTGAGTAGAGGTCAACTGAAGACACATTTCTAAATTCATCAATGTTAGCAAGCAGGGATCATTCAGCTAAAAGGATACTTTGTTGTTTTTATTACTTATCTATAAATCAGGAACATTGGTTTTTTTTCATCAACTTTTAAGTTTCAGGGTACATGTGCAGGATGTGCAGCTTTGTTACATGGGTAAACATGTGCCATGGTGATTTGCTGCACAGATCAACCCATTACCCAGATATTAAGCCCAGCAACCATTAGCTAGTCCTCCTGATGCAGAAGCATTGGGTTTTAATCGCAGTTTTTCATTTAGAGACTGACGTGTCAATTCTTTAAGTCTCAAAAACATCTGTAAGCCTCAGTTTCCTTACCCCAAAAAATCAAACATCTGTGGAACCTTTACACAAAATATTTGATGCTGATCTTAAATGTTGTGGCTATGAGGGTCACAGGTTTCTTGAAATGCTCCTTTACTGAGAAGCTTTTGCTGTTAGATTTGACAAAATGCTTACTTAGCTAAAGTCAAACAATAATCGCAGATTCTAAAGCAAAAGTTGTATTCTTTAATGTCATTTATGGTGGCCAAAATTGTGTGTTCCCAGAGTGCTTTCAGTCAAGAGAGCCCACCTTGCCTCCAGTAGTTACATAAGAAAAGCCTGGTCAGGTACATCGTGTAGGTGAAGAAAGGAATGGCTGAGAGGCAGCAATCAATTGGGTAGTAAGCATGGAACCTGGGACTGGAGTACCTGTCTATTGGCTTCAAACCACATGCTCTTTGGATTTTACCTTGAGGCTCTGTTTCCTTATGAATCACCTGGCCTGGCAAGTGAAGATGCTCTGTGAATACTTGTTGAATAAGCAAATATAAGGACAAACATACAAAGGGCTAAGCCTGTCACTTTGTCCATTTGGCCAAGGGGTTTTAATAGTGTAAATAAAGGCTGTACTGTATTGCAAGGTGTAGCTTCAACTCTCTGATCTCCAATTTTCCCTTCTAGAGCAGAAACAGAGGAAGCAAGGATCAGGAGAATTCTTAGGAAATCCAGGACCACACATAGAACCGTCCATGGTAGCCGTTATTCTGCTGTTGACCAGATAGAGACCTTAAAAGACAAGTTCAAGTTTTTTGATGATGAGCATCACAGCCATCATCAGAACTGAGTCACAGGCATGTGAAACATTTTCACTAGAGTCTTTAAAAGACTCTTTTGCATGTTGTCATTTTCCTTCCCAGCTGCTATTTACATCCTGTCAACAGAGCAGTCTCCATTAACTTTTCCCTCCATGAAAACTCCCTAGGCTGGCCTTCCTACGAACTACAAAATAGAGTTCAGTCTCCTTACCTGACATTCAATATAATGTAAATTCACCCCAAATTCAACTCATAAGTTGTATTAGTCCATTTTCACACTGCTGATAAAGACATACTCGAGACTGGGCAATTTTAAAAAGTAGGTGGTTTATTGGACTTACAGTTCCATGTGGCTGGGGAGGCCTCACAGTCACAGCAGAAGGTGAAAGGCACGTCTCACATGGCAGCAGACAAGAGAAGAGAGCTGGTGCAGGGAAACTCCCCTTTTTAAAACCCTCAGATCCCATGAGACTTATTTGCTATCACTAGAACAGCGCAGGAAAGACCCACCCCCATAATTCATCACCTCCCACTAAGTTCCTCCCATGACACATGGGGATTGTGGGAATTACAATTCAAGATGAGATTTGGGTGGGGACAGAGCCAAATCATATCATTCCACCCCTAGCCCCTCCCAAATCTCATGTGCTCACATTTCAAAACCAATCATGCCTTCCCAGCAGTCCCCCAAAGTCTTAACTCATTTCAGCATTAACTCCAAAGTCCACAGTCCAATGTCTCATATGAGACAAGGCAAGTCCCTTCTGTCTATTAGCGTGTAAAATCAAAAGCAAGTTAGTTACTTCCTAAATACAATGGGGGTACAGGCATTGGGTAAATACGGCCATTCCAAATGTGAGAAATTGGCCAAAACCAAGGGGCTACAGGACCCATGCAAGTCCAAAATCTAGCAGGGCAGTAAAATCTTAAAGCTCCAAAATGATCTTTTTTGACTCCATGTCTCACATTTCGGTCATGTTGATGCAAGAGGTGGGTTCTTATGGTTTTGGGCAGCTCCACTCCTGTGGCTCTGCAGGGGACAGCCTCCCTTCAGGCTGCTTTCATGGACTGGCCTTGAGTGTCTGTAGCTTTTCAAACATGTGTGGTGCAAGCTTTCAAGGGATCTACCATTCTGGGGTCTGGAGAACAGTGGCCCTCTTCTTATAGCTCCGCTAGGCAGTGCCCCAGTAGGGATTCTGTGTCGGGGCTCCAACCCCACATTTTCCTTCCACACTGCCCTAGCAGAGGTTCTCCATGAGGGCCCCACCCCTGCAGCAAACTTCTGCCTGGGCATCCAGGTGTTTCCATACATCTTCTGAAATCTAGGCAGAGGTTCCCAAACCCCAATTCTTGACTTCTGTGCACCCACAGGCTCAATACCATGTGGAAGCAGCCAAGACTTGGGGCTTGCACCCTCTGAAGCTACAGCCCAAACTCTAACTTGGGCCATTTCAGCCACAGCTGGAGTCACTGGGACACAGGGCACCAAGTCCCTAGGCTGCACACAGCACATGAACCCTGGGCCCAGTCCACCAAACCACTTTGTCCTCCTAGGCTTCCAGGTCTGTGATGAGAGGGGCTGCTGTGATGACTCTGACATGGCCTGGAGACATTTTTCCCCAGGATCTTGGGAATTAACATTTTACTCCTCATTACTTATGCAAATGTCTGCAGCTGGCTTGAATTTCACCTCAGAAAATGGGATTTTTTTTTTCTATCATGTTGTCAGACTGCAAATTGTCCAAACTTTCATGCTCTGCTTCCCTTATAAAACTGAATGCCTTTAATAGCACCCAGGTCACCTCTTGAATGCCTTGCTACTTAGAAATCTCTTCAAGCAGATAACCTAAATCATCTCTCTCAAGTTCAAAGTTCCACAAATCTCTAGGGCAGGGGCAAAATGCCACCAGTCTCATTGCTAAAACATAACAAAAGTCATCTTTGCTGCAGTTCCCAACTAGTTTCTCATCTCTGTCTGAGACCACCTCAGCCTGGATTTCATTGTCCATAGCACTATCAGCATTTTGGGAAAAGCCATTCAACATTCAACAAGTCTCTAGGAAGTTCCAAACTTTCCCACATTTTCCTTCTTCTGAGCTCTCCAAACTGTTCCAACCTCTGCCTGTTACCCAGTTCCAAAGTCATTTCCACATTTTCAGGGATCTTTTCAGCAGTGCCCCACTCTACTGGTACCAATTTACTGTATTAGTCCATTTTCAGGCTGCTGATAAAGACATACCCAAGACTGCGCAGTTGACAAAAGAAAGAGGTTTATTGGACTTACAGTTCCACGTGGCTGGGGAGGCCTCACAATCCTGGTGGAAGGTAAAAGGCATGTCTCATATGGCAGCGGTCAAGAGAACAGAACTGGTGCAAGGAAACTCCCCTTTTTAAAACCATCAGATCTCATGAGACTCATTCGCTATCAGGAGAACAACGCAGGAAAGATCCGCCCCCATAATTCAGTCACCTCCCACCAGGTTCCTGCCACAACACATGGAAATTGTGGGAATTACCATTCAAAATGAGATTTGGGTAGTGACACAGCGAAACCATATTATAAGCTTTATCTCTCACTATTCCTTTTTATAGAAATGGTGCCAACTGGGATGTATTTCTCTTAGACAAAATTCCCATAACAAAAGTCATCATTTTAACTATTTTACAGTGTGCAATTCAATGTTTTTTAGAATGGTCACACAGCTGTGCAACCATCACCACTATCTATAATAATTCCTGGACATTTTTCTTCAAACTGATCACTGATCAAAGTGGCTTTCTGTGCCTAAACTATTTTGTTCCCTGTGGCTTTGGCTGGTCACCTGCTTTCCTTCTGAAAGTCTAGAATGTAGTGTGACGAGCCACCTATAAAACCCACGGGAACTGAGTCTCTAGTGAGGTTCTCTGGTAGATGACAGTCCGCCCATGCCCATGCTATACAACTCGCCAGGGGCACTAAGCATGTATTGTGTTTAGAGAGGGCCCTTAGATGTTTGTGCCTGGTTTCCTCTGGATGTCACCCCATGTGCCTTTTCCTTTTGATAATTTTGTTCTGTATCCTTTCACGATAATAACTCACAGCTGTAATTGTGTCTAAATGCTGACTCTTATGAGTCCTCCCAGTGACTCATGAAACCTGGTTGTCTTTAGGACCCCCACACACATACTGAAATATCTGTAGATGGAATGATATAGTGTATGGGATCTGGGGGGGTTGGTGGGTGGTGGGGATATAGAGGAAACAGAGATTCACTATGACTTGTTACTTCTTCAAGCTAAGGGTGAGGTTTCATAGGGAATTTTTTTATTATTCCCTAATTTTAAACATCACAGAATTTTTTTAACCAAAATATACTAAAATAAATGAAAAGGTGTGGTGTCCTAAAGGACCTATAAAACATTAAAAAATATTTAAAACCCATGAGATGAGAAAATGAAGAGACTCTTAAGCAATGGCCAATTAACGCTGCTCCATCTCAAGACTTAATGTTGGCCTCACACTGCAGGGACATGCAATTTGGAGTGACTGCAGGCACACCTATGGTCTAAGACTTGCCTCGTGGAATATGAACAGGAGCCCAGTTTCTTTGGGAATGGGCTGCTGCAGTGCTCACAGACACTCTGTGCTCCTAGAAGGCAGGGGGGCAGTGCTAGAATGGCCATGCTTTGTACCGCAGGGGGGCCCTCCTTTTGTATCCATGAAATGCCTTATCATTGAGGTCAGTGAAATATCTGTTTTACTCCTTTCTTCTCTAATGTCTTCTTGTAGAGCCTGCCAGTCACCTGCCCCAAACCCATTCTGTCCTCCTCAGAACCCTAATGTTGGCTAGGGATTCAATATGTCCAGATAAAAATATTCTCCTCCCCGACTTCTGTGCAAGTAACAAAGGGTTAGTCACGTGGCCAAGCTCAGGGCCACGAGACAGATGTGAGCTGAAAGCTACCACAAGGCTTCTGTAGAGCTGTGACTGCCAACAAACTCACCTGCCTACTTTTCTTTTGTGAATCTAAAGATAAAAGCCATATGTTACTGATGGCAGAGCAGGGATATAGAATAGTAATTTCTCAACAAGGGCTGATTTTGCCCTCTCAGGGGACATTTGGGAATGTCTGGAGACTTTCTGATTTTTACAGCGTAGGTGGTGGGTGCTGCTGGCATTGAGTGGGTAGAGGGCAGGCATGTATCCTACAGTGCACAGGGCAGCTGCTGCAACAAAGAATCATCTGGTCCGAATGTCAATAGTGCTGAGGTTGGAACACCCTACTCTAGAAGCCTGGGTCCTTGATATTTGAGGGCAATGACACTAGCCATAATAGATGGTCTATCTGGCTGGGCTTGGTGGCTCACGCCTGTAATCTCAGCACTTTGGGAGGCTGAGGAGGGTGGATGACTTGAGGTCAGGAGTTCGAGACCAGCCTGGCCAACATGGTGAAACCCCATCTCTACTAAAAATACAAAAATTAATCAGGTGTGGTGGCATGTGCCTGTAGTCCCAGCTACTCAGGAAGCTGAGGCAGAGAATCGCTTGAACCTGGGAGGTGGAGGTTGCAGTAACCCGAGATCATGCCACTGCGCTCCAGCCTAGGTGAGAGAGCGAGACTCCATCTCAAAAAATAAAATAAAAAATAATAAAAAGATGGTCTATCTCTGATTGCTTGTATGTGAGGAAAATTCATTGCGTATTTGGTTAACCCAATTATTTGGGATTCTATTACCTTCCACCTCGCTCAGTCCAAGTACCTCACTCTCCTTTCTTTCCTTTTGTGTTCTCGACTGCTTCTAAGCTTAGACTTTTCAAAAGGCTGTATTCTGAGCTGTATCAACTGTGGCAATCTCATGTAAGCACCATGTCAGTTCAGATGTTTTTCTGTAACTATCTATGAAGCAGGCAACTGCCTCTGATATTATTCTCTCCCATGCTCGGTTTCACCCCTTCCCTGATGACAGAATATCTTCTCCTTCTTCTGATTGCCATGATAGAGACACAACGCGTCCTCCCCCATCATCCTGCTGAGCAGGAAAGACCTTGCATGGCCTGGTAGAGTGGGCTGGTTTCTGGTATAAAGATAAAACAGGTAAGTCCAGTTGTCAGGGATGCTGTAAGGAGATAAGTGAGATGAAAGAAAAAAAGCATGCCTGATCCTAGAAGATAAATATTGACGACCCTTTGTTTTATTCCTTCCCAGGCTTTTTCCTCTAAGCATATTCAGGAAATGCATGCCAATTTTAAAAAATGGGCATACATTTATTCTATTTTCAAAATTTTTTATTTGATACTATTGTGAATATGCTGCTGTGAATGATGATCTAATTTATCCTAGCTCTTTTTTCTTTTCTTTTTTTTTTTCTTTTTTTGGAGATGGAGTCTCACTCTGTCTCCCAGGCTGGAGTGCAGTGGTTTAATCCTGGCTTACTGCAACCTCTACCTCCCGAGTTCAAATGATTGTCCTGCCTCAACCTCCCAAGTAGCTGGGATTACAGATGCCCGCCACCACATCCTGCTAATTTTTGTATTTTTAGTAGAGATGGGGGTTTCACCATGTTGGCCAGGCTGGTTTCAAACTCCTGACCTCAAGTGATCCAACCAACTGGGCCTCCCAAAGTGCTGAGATTACAGGCATGAGCCACCATGCCCAGCCTGTCCTAGTTCTTTTTCTGAGGATTGACCAACACTCCCTTCTTCTCACCTTCCTCCGCCTTCCTCAGTCTCAACTCCAGGTTGAAGGTATAGTACAAACTAGAAGAGACTCTAATTGGGCAGGTTACTTGAGTGATTTTAGTTTTTTAGTCTGTCAGATGTGAGATGGAATTCCAAGTTTGTGAAGGTTACATCCAGTTCTGCCTGGTATTGAGCTCTGAAAAATACCACTGGGCTATTTTAACCTACAATGGTTCATGGGGGGAGGGAGGGAGTTTGCTTTCTTTACCTTTTTATCCCAGTGGCTGAAATAGTCCCTGTCACATAGTAGGTCCTCAACACAATGCTGCATGAGTGAATGGATGAGCCAGAATGTAACCTCCTTAAAGATGGGAGTAAATTTTTTATATTCTCTAAATGTATTCTAGGCTAAACAATAAAAGCATATCCAAAATTCTGTAGCTGTAATCATGGAAGATTGAGCTACACCAGTCATCTAAACAAGCAGGTGTCACGTGAACACTTCTATGTTATGAAGTGACACTAAGGAAGGCCTCGATCCTGTTTCCCAGCACACATTTCCAAGTTCTTCCAAGCACAGGCGTTAGGTCTGTTCTCCTTTGTTCCACAGCAGGCTGGATGGTAACGATGGGGCAGATCCAAAAGGACTCCTTCCCCTTTCTGTTGAAGAGGCCCCTTCACAAAACCTCTTCCAGAGAGTCGAAGACCCCCAGCACACTGTGGGTTCAAAGGAGCTTGACTTTCTTGTGGGGTCTAGCCACGGGCGCATGCCATTCATTGTGCTCAGGGAACATTTGCCATTGAGGAGTAACCCCACAGTAAAACATGCTGAAAATTATGGGATAAATATATGACACTTGGTAATGGGATATTCTCACATAGTAAAAAAAATCTTAAGTCTCTGGACTCACATAGCTCCCCTTCGGGTCAAGTTAATTAAATTAAGTGAATTTTTATAGCTTTTATGTCATAACATCTTCACTCTGCTTTTCAAAAATTAACTCATTCCTTTTAGACAGGAGATTTGCAGTCTTGGATTCTGAGACTATGGAGTGTATGTAGTATGTTTAAGAGGTGCATCTGTATTCTTCTTGAAATAAATTAAGTTCACTAGTATTTATTCCAGAGAGGAAAAAAAAAGATCTTAGAAACATATCATAGGCATCTCCTTGAAAATTAAGATATACAATATGTGTGAAACCTCCAACTCTTAAGATATTCTTCTTTATGAAAATTTAAGATTTTGCCTACTAAATTGTCTATTACGAATAGGTAGACTGGATGAGGTATTCCCTATTGTTGAATCCCAGTGGAGGAGAAGTTCTTTCTGGCAGGTGTTTGTTTAATGGTCATTACCAGAGGCCCACAGCACTCAGCTCTGACAGTCCCTGGCTCAATGCACTGCTGTGCCAAATGTTCAGTGTGTCTTTTTCCTTCTGTGTCCCTTCCTGCATCTGGGTACACACACAGCTGTTGGTGTTTGTGACTCGCCCACTTGTTGTTGGACTCCAAGCTTATTAAAAGAAGGAGATTTGCCTAAGTCATTCTTACCTCCCCGCACTGGTTCCTGCAAATAACTTTTTATGTAGAAAGTGACTCATTAAAACATATATACAGGCCGGCCGCAGTGGCTCACACCTGTAATCCCAGCACTTTGGGAGATCAAGGTGGATGGATCACTTGAGGTCAGGAGTTGGAGACCAGCCTGGCCAACATGGGGAAATCCAGTGTCTACTAAAAATACAAAAATTAGCCGGGCATGGTGGCGCATGCCTGTAGTCCCAGCTACTCAGGAGGCTGAGGCATGAGAATTGTTTGAACCTGGGAAGTGGAGGTTGCAGTGAGCCACTGCACTTTAGCCTGGGCAACTGAGCAAGACTCTGTCTCAAACAACAACAACAACAAAAAAAAAAAAACCACAACAAACCCCCCAAAGCCAAACACATATACATGTCTTTCTCCTAGCCCACTATCTACACTCCACCCTCATCATTTAAGAAATAAAAAGCTCTCATCACTCAGAGCCCACCATGGCCCCAGCTGCTAGAGAGGGGCCTGCAGAAACGCCCTGAGGGTCTGTCTTCTCCTCACACTCATGGCCCCATTTCCTACCAGATACTGAATGTTGCAGGCTTAAGCCAAATCCATATTCTGATCAGTTTCTGGATATGCCACAACTCTTTTCCTAAACCTTTTTACCTGCAATATTTAGAGAAATTCCCTGCTCCCTCCTCATACCAGACGCCTCTACATGGCAATGTCCTAGTTATGTGCAAATGTTACTTTGGTTCAAATGTCACCTCCACGAGACTCTCTCTAAGCTCCTACAGCAGGAAGCTGCCATTTCTCTGTATTCTCCCTCCTCTGTCTGTATCTCGAGAAAGCACCCATGCTTTGTTATGTCTTTAACCATTTACCTGACTCCCTCCCTTAATCTGCAAGTACCTGAGGACAACGTCTATACATGCCTGATTTATTTTTATACCATTTTTTCAATTATTAACTGAATGCATTTGGTTGACTTGGAGGAGGCAAATTGATGGAAAGACAGTGGGTTGGGGATCACTGGGCCTGATGTGAAACTTGGATAAAGTACTCAGCGTCTTTTCTCTTGCAGAAAAGAGTCTTGGTAATGAGGTATCAGGGAAATCAATAATGTGGTGCTTGCAATAAGAAGAGAATATAATTTCCCAGGGAGAAAGCTATCATGAAATTTAGGTATCTGAGTTTTATCTGAAATATAGAAAGAAACAAAAATTATAAGAACATATTCATCCTAGATTTTAAGTTCTAGGATGCTGAGATCATTTGTGTGATGTGTCACTGTGAAGTTTGTTAGTAATATTAAACTACTGAGGCTTACAAGTGATATACATATATATATAAATATATGTTATCATATATTATATATTTATATATAATAAAAAATATGTATAATATATATTTTTTTGAGACAGGGTCCTTCTCTGTTGCCTAGGGTGGAGTGCAGTGGTGCGATGTCAGCCCACCACAGCCTGTCCCTCGCAGGCTCAAGTGATCCTCCTGCCTCAGCCTCCTGAGTAGCTGGGACTACAGGTGTCCACCACCAGGCTTGGCTAATTTTTACAAATTTTTTGTAGAAATGATTTCTCACTTTATTGCCCAGACTGGTCTCAAACTCCTGAGTTTAAGCGATGTTTCGGCTTTGGCCTCCCAAAGGGCTGGGATTACAGGTGTAAGCCACAATATCCGGCAATATATCTTTTAATAAATAAGAACCAACACACACAAAAATTTCTAGTTTCCATGAGCTTTCCACTTTCCATCTAAGTAAGATAAGAACTATCAGATGGTCCTCTTACTTCTTGGCTTATCTTACCTGCTACAATTCCTAGGAGAAGTCTGGCAACTCCATGTTTGAAAGGATCTATAAAATTGGATAGTTTCTACAGATCTATGACACATTTTGCTCACACATAAACCAAACCAAATCAAAACAAAACTCCCTGCCTGCATCCGTATACAGAGGTTTCGCAATCACAGTGTGACCGATATTGAATTCCAGAAACGGAATCCTGCTCTTGAATTCTTTAAAAATTCACAACTTTTTACACAGTTCACGAAAGCCAAATAACAAGGCAACAATATAAATGAATGATTACAGGCATTTTAATTTCTTAGAATGAATAAGATTCATGTCATTAAATGGTATTTTCATTTATGTAAGATGACCATCATCATACAATAACTATTTTCTCTCTTTAGGCATTCAAAACATAAAAATAAATCTTTTACAGAACAAAAGAAATCCAAATATTTTAGTTTTGCTGTCTACATCTTCAAATAAAACGATGGGCCACCAATCCTCAATTCTTTGTGTCAATTTAAATAAAATCTCCCTGTGAGGCCTGTGATGAGTGCACCTACCCAGGGTCTCAGTCTCACTGAACCACGGAAAGTTGCAGGTCTGTGCTTACAGATGACACCATAAGTATGGGCAGAGAATGACTTTCCTATCATCATTTGGTTCACTTACAAAATGACCCTTATCCAACGTATAATTCATTTACTAAAGTCATGCTTGACCCAAAAGCACCAAGGAGGCTTAACGAAGTTATTGAAGCATAAACTTCAAGGAGATCTGGCTCTAGCTCAAACATGGCTCTTGCAGCAGCCTTGGGGGTCATTATCCTCAGGCTGAATGACATCTTTGATGGGTCCCATATCAAACTGTGCACTCATTTCCAGGCTGCTTTCATTAGTCCTAGTTATATAAGAAGCACGATCTTCTAAAGGAATCTCGAGTTTAACCCGCACACGGGGGTCACTGGGCCATGTTTAAGAAGAGGGATGCGGGAGCTTCGTGGATTTTTACTGACTGTTTTTCTATTTGGGTTACATCTTAGTTCTGGACTCGTTTAAAACAAGCCTCAACCCTTCAGTGAGATTTTACTGCTGATCTTCAGAACAAATCCTCATATGTTGAGGAAAAGGAAAAACAGGAAGAACAAGAGCTTCATCCCGGATTAGAGAACCACCTCCTTGTAGGATGGTGTAGGGTCCACATCGAAGGCTTTTGGAGACAGACAAGCCTGAAGTCATATCTGCTCTCTTATGACACTAGCCATGAGACTTGTGATCCTCATTAGCCTTTCTAACCTTCAGTTTCCTCATATGTAAAATGGAGATACCACCAGCCAGCAGGAATGGTTGTGAATATCAAATGAGCTGATGTACTCATAACACCCGGTGCGGTATCCCACCAGAATAGGGAATGGGTGGAACGAGGGAAGGACGAGGTGAACGAGTGTGAGCTCCAGAAGCCAGCAGAGGTGAGGCGAGAAGGAGAAAGCAGGCTTTGGATATATACCTGGCCACAGACGTCCTTTTTTCTTTTGAAATTCCTATTAAATCAACATGCACTGCGGGCACAAATCTCATCTTTTCTCCTATTTTCTTTCTGTTGCAGTTGTTGGGATTTGGGATATTGCTATCTGATGTTTGCACTGAGTTGCCCAGAATCCTTTCTGGAACCATGTGGTGTGCGTCTGCATGCATTCACTTAACTAATACTTCCTGGGTGCTATACAAGGTGTTACAGATTCAGCCCCCAGCATAATCAAATAAAAATAAAGCGATGGCTTTTAACATTTAAAATATACCTTCTGCTCTAAATACAAGGTACAAAGCTTGTCTTATTTGCCTTTGTGATCCCAAGTCATCTAACAAATCAGAGCTTTAGGCACCTAGCAGCACTTTTATCATATTTATAAAGTGAATAAAAGATGCTCCAAGGATGCTACTTTACCTGTTTACATTGTTGGATGCAGCTAGAACCATGGAGATCTTAGTCTTTTTTGGTAACATTATGGGATCCTTGAGCTACTGAGCTTGGACAGAAATCACTTAAAGAGATTAAGTTCCTGGAACTTAACGCTGGAAGGGAAGTCATGAAAAGACACATTAGTGGATGATTTCTAAAGGTCACGGCAGGCAGAGAAGAGGAACTTGCCTAAATCTGCCTGGGAGCCCAAAGGAAAATCCTCCTTCGTATGCTGGGGGCATGATCACAGTCAGTGGTGTCGGTTTCAAATTCAAGTCCCTCCATAAAAATTAGAAAATGACCATGCTGGGCCATCTTATTTATCTTCTCCTGTTCTTCAAGTATGTAAGACAGGTGGATGGCGATGGGATAAGGTGGAGCTTTTGTTCTTCTTTTATGCTGTCTCAAGGACTGATTCAAAAGAGGGAGGAGGAAAGGATTCTGGACGAATTGTAGGCTCCAATGGCAAAGGAAGATGATGGGAAGAGAACAAGGGGCGGGGGATGGGTTTACTTGAGCCTCAAAGTGAAATAGAAACATCTTTTTAGACTTGAATATGTTGTGTCTTTTCTTAGACATTTAATACTTTCTTCTAGGCTCATCTGTGGGATCTGAGCAATCAGGGAGTAAGGATTTTCCGAGCTTAATGAAGAACCTGGGGGAGCGCTAACAGGGCCATTGTTGCTAACGCACAGCAGCTGGTAAATTGGCACTCCCTAATTTTATTTCCAACCCCCTTGTTTGTTTAACCTTGCTTATTAGGAGATCTTAATCCAACATTAAGTTTTTAAAACCCAACAATTTGGGTTTTATTGAGGAACATAAGTACTTTATATTCAGTAAAAACCTATTTTAATGTCAGAAGCCATTGAGAAGAAAGTTGGAAAAGAAAACATCCCATGAGAGATTGGGATGACATTTTGTTGCCATGCACCCCTCTGATGTCAGCCAGAAAGGGGCATTCTCAGTCGCTGACCATCACACATGCATTTTGTCCTTTGTATATCGCACGTGCGTGTTCACTGGTGTGTCGCAAATAGACACCTACAGTATAGTCATACAGGAGTCTCCTTCCTTCGGCAACTTACAAGTAATATCAAATAATTAAAATGACTTATAAAGCTTCATTCCTGGTCTCCGGCTGTCACTCTGTAAACTATGTTATCACTGGTGAGAACTAAGCAGCAGAGGCTCAGGGTCTGAATAAATGTGCCCATTAAAATTCCTGACTCAGAACTCGGCAATTCCCAAGCAGCTAGCATGGATGTATGGAAAACACCAGCAACACGTTAGATACAACACACAACACTTTTAAGTATCCCAAATAATTCTCCAGCAACATTATTTTATTTTCAGACTTTTATTAGGAATTTGTCTTTGCGGATCACAAACTACTTTCAAGTATTTGGTGCCCAGAGGTGTTTGAGATGGGAGTGAGAAGCTAACAGCAAAAATAAGTAAATAACATCTGGTGGAAAAGGCAAAGCTCACACTCCATCTGGCTGCCCTTCAGAGCCCCAGGCAGCCACGGGGCACTGCTGACAAACTCATCCTTTACCCCACAGCACTTCTGCTGTGACCTTCAGGATGCCTGGCTTGCAAAAGACTGCAGCAAGGAGGGCTGCGTGCTTTGGATGTAGCCACGGGCTGCACTAATGAGCTGGGCTGATCTTGAGAGAGCACGAGGGAGCCGGGGGAAGAGACACCTGGGGGTGTTGTCTCATCCTTCACAGATACTTCCAGATTTCCATTGCAGATTCAAGTTCAACCCTATGAAGACTTAATTGGTACCGTTGTATTTAGTGAACATAACTTTCCACTGGACTTTGGGCATGTTTTCAGAATTGTCAGAAGCATTTTCAAAGTAAAGACTAGCTCTGTCACCTATTAGCTGTGTGGCCTAAGGTAAGTGACTTAACTTCTCTGATTCTAGGGCCCCTGATCTGTAACACTGGTGTAAATAAGAAACATTCTGCTACTTTGAACTTCCGAGGTTTATTCCATCTTTCCCTTCTTTGGGTTGTCCTGTGTAAGAATGTGATCTGGGAGAAGTTAAGAAAATGAATGCACATGTCGGTTCCTTGCCTCGCAAAGGGTAGAAATTCCAGAAACGTATCTTTCGTTTGGGGAAATTCCTGCATTTGGCTTTTTGTTGATCCTTGAGAAAGGTACCTGAGGCAGGAGCACAGGAGAGAGGCCTGACCAGCACAGCTAGATTAATCTGCTTCATAAATTGCTGGAATCTGAGAGCTATCACCTGTTTTTTTTTCTGGAGGGAGGACATTTCAGAGGATCCCAAAATATTCAGAGAAGAGGGGGAATGAATAAGGGGTCTTGAGAGAGAACAGAAGATCCTGACCCAAGAGACGGTCTAGGCTGGGTTCCAGGGAGCACTCGGCAGAAGCATCAGATGTGAGGTTGGCACTTATTTTGGAAATCTGGGTTTAAAAGCCCAGAACCTGCTCAGCATCACAATATCCAGATGCTATATCTATTTCTACACATTTCTACCACTTTTACACTAAAGAGATATGAGAAAAGACACCACAAAGCACGAATTCCATTTCAACTGCAAAGTGCCGGATATTAGAAAGGTCTACACCAATCTCAGAACAGCGTCCTGCAAATACTCAGCTTGCGAAGGGAGCATAGGATATGGGTGTCAGCCCTGCACAAAAGGGCCCCTAAAGCATTTTAAATGTGAACATGAGATTCACACTAAGTTTGAAGAGAACTCTGATTCACTTCGATATCCCTGAATCCCAACTTGGTCTTTATTGGCAACAGTTTAGGGCAATGGGGGCTACGGAAAAGTTCTGTGATAGAAGCAACCGCAGCACAACCAGGCCATGCAGTTGTTGGAAGACCCCATAAACAAGAGAAAAAGGGGCAGTCAAGGAAAGGTTCTCTTAAGCAAGAATGTCTAGGGGCTTTAAGAAGAGCAAGCCGTGCTGTTCATATCGGTGTTGCTTCATCTTCTGTGGTACCCACAGTTCTCCTTTGTCATCCTGTCACTTTTTGTAAATGTCTGTTATGAAGCATGTTTGTGTTAGTGTATTTTGGAAAACAGAGAAGATGCAGTGCTGGTAGCAAAGTATCGCTGAGAGATAAACACGTCATGAGGTCCCAGTGATGCACAGGATGGAGGATGGAGGAGGGACGGGGATTTAGGTGGAAAAGAGACCAGGATGATATCACACCCCAAATATTTAAAAGGCCACAGTACCTTCCATAGGACATAGCTTCATGCCTGTGTTTCTGGATGGCCCCATCCAGTTGGAAGATTTGTAAATATGTGGGCTGTGTAGAGACGATGGCCTCGCCTGTCTTTCACGGGATGCTAAGTGATTAAGAACTTAGCATCATGTCTGGCACATTCTGCACATGATCAATAAGTGGCAAGTATCAAACTTACGATGGAGAACACATCTAGTATGAGGAGTAGCAGGAGCTATCTCTTTCATCTGTTAGAGAGTCCCAGTTAAAGCAAGAAAATAGAATCAGATGTGCGTTTCTTATTACAAGGGTGTGTCTGCTTTCTTTTTTTTTTTGAGACAGAGTCTCGCTCTATCAATCACCCAGGCTGGAGTGCAGTGACGCAATCTTGGCTCACTGCCTCCCGAGTAGCTGGGACTACAGGCACCCGCCACCACGCCCGGCTAACTTTTTTTGTATTTTTAGTAGAGACGGGGTTTCACTGTGTCAGCCAGGATGGTCTCGATCTCCTGACCTCATGATCCGCCAGCCTCGGCCTCCCAAAGTGCTGGGATTACAGGCTTGCGTGAGCTACTGCGTCCCGCCCCGCCCACGTGTGTCTACTTTCTTAAAACACGAAGAGTTACAATAAAGAGCCTGGCCAGCCCTCAATTAACCAAAAATTCAGTTCCCAGAGGCCTCTTCTCTGGAGACTCAATTTGCCCATTTGCTGAATCATTCAATCAGTTAATATTTATTGAGACTTTATCCCACCCCAGATACTGTGACCTATGAGGGAACTATGATAATTACTACAACATACCTGTGACCCCCAAGATGTTTGCTGTCAAGAGCCAGACAGAGATGCAGACAGACACCTGAATGTGAAGTGAGACATGCTGTGGGCAAAAGATTGATGAGTCACAGGGGACGGTGCTCAGTTACCGAAGAGATCAAGTGAGTCTTTTTTATTAATTAAGAAGGTGATCGATGTTTGAAAAGATGTCAATGATAATTAATTAGACCCTAGCAGGTTACCATGGTTAAGGACTCTGTGAAGTAATTTAACTGAGACAATAAATGGTGGTGTCAGTGCTCATGTGAATATCATCGTGTTGAAGGATGAATAGTCTCTAATTAATGGGTCTTCTGAATGCGCTTCACTCTAAAAAGAGGACGCGGCAGAATCTCACCCTTGGGCCAAACAGCTACAGTGCATTGGGATTCACCTGAGCTCTCAGACTCTTTTAATTGGAACGGAACTAAAGTAAAACAAACTCCTGCATCCTGGTCTGTGGGCTGCTGGGGCTGAGCTGCGTTGCCAGGCAGAAAACCGCCTGCCCCAGGCTTTGATTTTGAGCTTGACCTTGAAGAAAGACCAGGCTGGCCACAAGGCACGCTGCACGGCGTATCCTGTCATCTGCTCTATTAGGTAGGAGGATGGAGGGGCTGAGTACGGCGGGGTCTTCAGGATTATTTCTTGAGATCCTTGGAGCCCTGGAAACAACCGTATAATGACCTGGAGAATATCTGTCTACTTATCAGAGTAGGAAAAAAACATGAACATCTCACATGAGATCCCTTTACTTAAGAGAAAAAAATATGTACGTATACACGTATATACACACAAAATCAAATATTTATTTCCCTAAATCAAAAAAGCAAAAACAAAAAAAGAAGAGCCTGTCCCTCTGTATACTGCAAACAAATAAAGTTGAAACGCGATTTCAGTCTTGGCCGGGGTCTAAACTGGAGTCAACAAAGATGGAAGTTGTATTTAAATTTCCCAGGGATGCAACGTTTGCCAAGGAAAAGTAATTAGTAGAGTCTGAACATGTATCTCTGCAGGAAGCAAGTTGGCCCAGTGGAGCCTGCAGAGACTTGAGTCCCCAAATTATGAATTAAGCAGCATCAACAGCGGGGCCCAGCATCATCCATCAGTTAGGAACTAGAGTCCGCCCAGAGGACCTACAGGCAGAGGACCTACAGCACCTCTGGAAGGGACCAGCGTGGTGTGGAAGAAATCGGCTGCCCTGCCCCAAGACACACCTCTCTCTGCTTTCAGACGGAGGAAGTGCATCCAGCCTCTGCGAAGTGGGCTGCATCCCCAAGGTGGTCCAACCCTAGCTGGTTCACAAGCTGATGCTCTGACTGAAGTTTTGTAAAGTTCTACTGCGGTATCGTGGAGTACACAACTAATTCTAATTTGGAAAATCAGAGAGAATGTATTTTGGGTCAAGCCATGAGGATTAATGAGACTTTCTGAAGCAGAGAAGTGATGAGCAACGGTATTTTCAGAAAAAGAGAAGAGCAATAAAGTCACAAAGCTGCCAAAGAACCTAATATGGCCAGGAACGTGGTAATAGAGGCCATGAGTGGCCGGGCATGGTGGCTCACACCCGTAATCCCAGCACTTTAGGTGGTCGAGGTAGGCAGATCACGAGGTCAGTAGTTCGAGACCAGCCTGACCAACATGGTGCAACCCTGTCTCTTCTAAAAATACAAAAATTAGCTGGGCGTGGTGGCACACACCTGTAGTCCCAGCTACTCAGGAGGCTGAAGCGGAAGAATCGCTTGAATCAGGGAGGCGGAGGTTGCAGTGAGCTGAGATCGTGCCACTGCACTCCAGCCTGGGCGATAGAGTGAGACTCCATCTCAAAAAAAAAACAAAATAGAGGCCATGAGTAGGGGTGGTGAGGAGACCGGGGAGGCAAGGTACACTGAGGCAGGAACACCCTGGATTCTCTAAAGCCATCTTGGTAACTTTGAAAAAGTGATTTAGTGTCTTTGACTCATAGTTTTCTTATTTCTAAAGTAAAGGTAAAAATTCCACATCCTCTCCAGCACTGTTGTGGGGTGGGGGGAGGGGGGAGGGATAGCATTAGGAGATATACCTAATGTTAAATGAAGAGTTAATGGGTGCAGCACACCAACATGGCACATGTATACATATGTAACAAACCTGCACGTTGTGCACATGTACCCTAAAAGTTAAAGTATAATAAAAAAAAAATTCCTGCCTCCATGGGTTTCAGTGAAGACTGAACTGAAGTAACTGAGATATTTCATGCAGCTACTGTTATCCTTTCAATTCCTGTTGCAATTATTGCTTCCGCTGCTGCTGGCGCTAAATGATACTGTCTTTTGAGTTCTTCCCGTAGGTCCTATAGAAAACTCCAATAGGAAACTTTTGCAGAAGTTTAAGCAAATAATTGTCTTAGCTCAGAGACCAGAAATGGGGAAGATGCATTTAAGGATAAGCCTGGCCGTGCAGACAGGATACTGTTGAAACTGTGTTAGGCAGAAAAAATGGGAGTGATGGCATGGACAGATTTTACTGCACGAAAATAGTCAGAGACATGATTGGGTTCCTAATGCCAGACAACTGAGGCTCTCTTCTCTTAAGGAAAGGTGCGACCTTGAGCATGACAACAAAAGAGAGAAAAAATAAACTGGTGGTTTACACCAATGTAAACCATAATTACATTTTGTTTATTTCTTAAGGACTTCATTAAGGTACAACGATGTGCTTCAGTGTGTATTTTTATGTAATGACTTCAAATGATCACTGTTATGCTCTCCAAACACTCTCAGAGCCGTGGGAGAACACAGTCCCTCTTACGAAGCCTGCCCTTCCTGGGTACTTCCCTGAAGTCCCTGCTGGCCATGGGATACAGGCTGCTGTACCAAGTGCCCTCGAGGGGACTTTATTACTCTCTGCAATTCTAAGGCTTAATGGTTTTGATTGAAAAATGTGGCCTCCAAAAAGCAGTGGAAATACCCAAACCATTTTAAACTTGAATTCCCCCCTCTACCTAACCCCATAAGCTTTATTTAAAAAAAAAACCCATCTGTTTTTTCAGCATAACAAAAGAGAAGAGGATAAAGCACATATGGAAATCAAGTTGCTTTGAGCCCTGTGCACTAACTCCAATTTTATCTTCTGAAACATATACTTTTCCAGTATCAACCAGCCAGCTGATATTTTCCTCCATTCAAAGGAAGCAATTTTCTTCAATTTTACAGTCTCTCTAGTACCGCATCCTAGAGACACAGAGGGCTCTCTGCTAACAAGTGGCTGGATTAATGAAAATGAGCGTAAACAAACACAGACAGTGGAGAGATGCTGGTGCCAGCCACATGGTCTATCACCATATTCAGACTAAAGTTGAACATGCTGCAGGGGGCGGGGAGGAGGCAGGAGCCGGATGGGCTGTGAGGCCAAGCTCTGCCTGGAGCTAGCAGACAAGTTAATCAGGCCCAGCGAGCAGCTTCTGTCAATCAGCTCCAGGCCTGCCTGCATCCAAGAGATACTGGGAGGAGACGGGAGGAGAGGGGACCCCTTGAAGGATGCAGGAGGCTTCGATTTGCTCAGAGCACAGGGCATGGGGCTTATCAAACCATTTCCAAGGTTTAGCCCAGGCTGCCTTCATAAAAGGCAGATCTGTAAAAGCAAATATGTTTGTTGAGCTAGGTGGCTCACCAGGTGCAGTGGCATCAGCTACCTGAGCAGAGTGACAAATTCTGTTAAGACAGAGGAGACACTTTCTGTTGGTCACAGATGCGGTGAGGAGAGGGTGGAAAGCTGTCTGCATGTAAGCGTCTTTCACCCTGCTTCTGGAATTAACCTTTCCCCTACTATAGTCTGCAACAGTGTCAATAAGAGGGTATTTGCCATATAAATTAGTGTGGTTAGTGATGTTAAAAGTAAGTTAAAAGGCCTAAAGAATCCTCAAGGAGACAAAGCCAGTTGGCCTTGTAAGTGTAAGTAACCTTGACCTTGTGTGAATTGCAAACATAAATAAAATTTAACCTGGGCCGGGCGTGGTGGCTCACATCTGTAATCCCAACACTTTGGGAGGCTGAGGCGGGCAGATCACGAGGTCAGGAGTTCAAGACCAGCCTGAGCAATATGGGGAAACCCTGTCTCTGCTAAAAATACAAAAATTAGCTAGGCGTGATGGTGTGCACCTGTAATCCCAGCTACTAGGGAGGCTGAGGCAGGAGAATCGCTTGAACCCGGGAGGTGGAGGTTGCAGTGAGCCAAGATTGTGCCACTGCACTCCAGCCTGGGCGACAGAGCGAGACTCCGTCTCAAAAGCAAAGCAAAACAAAACGAAACAAAAACTTCACCTGGGCTTTTTCTCATAAATGCCTATATTAAAGAAAAGTGAAACTTAAAGACTAACCAGTCAGAAGCTCCCAACTAACTTCTGTAACTAAGAACTTTCCAACAGGATTGACCAAATAAGGCAACTCCATAACTGTAACCAATCAGATAGTTGCTTTGCTTCTGTCTTTGTTCTGTAAAAGCCTTCTCCCTTGTTCCCTTGGTAGAACCCCAGAACCACTTCTGGTTTGGAGCTGCCCAATTCATGAATCACTGTTTGCTCAAATAAATGCTTTTAAAAAAAAAAAAATTGTATTGTGCCTCAGTTTACCTTTAACAGAAAGAAATAAACAATTTAAATATGACTCAAATGATCACCACTATTGTCTACACAAACACGTCCCTGGGGCTGTGAGCCAGGAAGAGGTGCGTGGCCACCGTGGGGTGGTTTTTCATTTACATCTGCCGTTACAAAATCGGCAGCACACTAACTCGCCTAGAGCATTTTCTCCTGCCTTGACTTTGACGTGGCGTGGTAGAAGTTCTCCTCCTGCCTCCCTGACCACACTTCCTCAGACACCTCCGTGTCCCTCTTCCCCTCTTCCCTCCGAGAGGCTCTGAGCAGTACCTCCACAACCCACGCTTTCCATGGTCCTCCAGATGGCTCCAACCTCTCACCTGGCTTCATCCCCAGTTCTCAATACCTAACGAACATTTCCACCGAGTTATTGCTCATAGACTTCCACTCCAAACTCTTCATCCAGTCACAGAAACTGACTCCCTGTCAAGAATAGAGAATCACCATTCCAGCTGCCCAGGCCTGAGATCCTCAAGTCAGCCTTGACAGTGCTCTCTTCCCTGGTGTTCCATTTCTATACACTACCACCTCCTGCTGATTTGTCACTCACCATGGCTTTTTACACCTGCCACTTCCTTTCCTGTCACAGCCTAAACTTTCAATATCAGAAGATGGCGCAAATTAAGGCACATTAATATCGTGAAATACTATTAAGATGTTAAAAAGATAATGACGATGTATACTTACTGCCATGAGAATATATGTATGTATAGGTTATGAATATTTTCCTACTTAATACACTTAGTATTATTCAATATATGTTATTATCTGGAAGGAGAGCTATGAAAATTTAATAGTGGCCATTTTCAGTTAGAGGGGTTACAGGTAATTTTTAGTATCTTTTAAATTTGTGTTAATCTCTGATTTCTAATTTACTGTAATAAATACATACATATAACAAATGTGTAGTATATATAATACAAGAAGTTGATATATCAGCCTAAGCTTGCACCATGTCATTGTTATTCTAAAACCTTCAGTGCCAATAAGTTAAACCCAACTTCTCAGCTTCTCTAAATTCTCCCCCATACTCCCTTTGCCCCCTTCATTGCCACAGAGCCTGTAGGTGTTGGTCCCAGCCTCCACTCTGATCTTATCTCTGGCTCTTCTCCCTCAGGCTCAACACTGTTCATGAATATGCCAAGCAGCCTCCTGCACCAAGACCTTTGCGTTGGTTGTTCCACCCTGCCTGGAAGGCTTTCCCCCAGAGAACTCATCTGCATGATCCTCACCTTCAGGTCCCTGCCCCCAAATCACATGATCAGAAAAGATTTCCACCATTCTATGTGAAATCACATGCTTGTAAGTTTCCTTATCTTTAAAACTAGGCTGTTTAAGTATCAAATGAGAAAATGCCCAAGAAGTCTTCGTGGACGGCCACAAACTGGGGACTTTGCTGGTGCTGGGGATACCACAGTAAACAGAGATGCGAGTCCCATCCTTGTGGAGTTTACATTCATAAATAATTATACTTAACCTATGTAACAAAAGGGTCAGTGCAGGATATAGGAGAATCCAAAACCAGAAGAGTCAATGTGGGGCAGAGCAAGAATTAGGGAGCAACTTAAAGGAAAAAGATAACATGCAGGGTGGTGACTAGGAGTGATCACAAGTGGACGCGGAGAGGAGAGCGAGTGGGCTGGACAGAAGGAACATCCTATGTAAGAGCCACTCTGGGGGAAAAGAAGATGGACTTCTGAAGCAATCCAAAGAAGTTCACGTAGGCAAAGTTTAAGAGAAAACTGGGGAGATGGCCAATGATGAGTCAGGAGAGTAAACAGATCATGTAGAGTCTGAGACATGGAGGGTCGGGGGGCCAGGGCTGTGCTCGCACAGTGGGCAGCGGGGGGTCTGTGAAGAGGTTGGGGGAGGATGATGTAGTGCTGGGCATGAGGATGTGAGGTGAATGTAAGATACTGCAGTGGACATGGAAATTAGCCAGTGACTGACATGCACACACACACAGACACACACACACACACACACACACACACCCCTCTCTCTCTCTCTCCAAGTGTATAGCTCGGAAGAGCATTTGAGCTAGAGAATTGAAACTCATCATCATATAGACAATACCTAACATTGTGGGGGTGAATTATTTCCCCTCAGGGAGTACAAAGTGAGGATAAGTGAGAAACTTGAGGAATTCAGACTTTTAAAGTTAGAAACATTAAAATTCCACCCCAGTCACCCAAGCATCCCCTTCTCCTTGCACCTGAGCTAGTACCTGAGGTGCCGGAGTAGAGCCTCGGTCCTTCCTGCTGCTGCTGGGCTTGAGTCCAGCCCTCCAACCCTCCGAGTGGACTGATGCCAAGTCTGCCATGGTATTCATGCACCCAAACATCACGTGGAGGCTAGGATGGGCACGTGTGTTCTGAAGGCAGAGCTGGCAGGATTTCTTGATGGATCGGATGTGGGATGTTAGAGAAAAAGTAGAATAAAAGATGACTTGAAGGTCCTTAGCTTGTTCTACAAATTTTTCCATCAACTGACATCAGAAAGGTTGTGGATAGGGTGGATTTTTTTTCTTTTGTATTTTTGGTTTTGGGGGGAAATCAAGGACTGAGACTTGGAGATATTAAGGTTAAAATTGAAATGTCTCTCAGACATCTGAGAGATTTGAGAGAAGGTTTGTCTGATGACATATGTTTAGGAATCATCAGTAAATGGAGGATATTTAAAACTATAAGACTGGAGGGAGACACCAAGGGAGGGCGTGCAGCCATGAAAAGGAGAGGAACAAGTCCTGAGTCTTGCAGCAATATTAAACGTCAGGGAGAAGAGGGAGAACCGGCCAACCCTCCTGCAAAGGAGATGCCCATGAGCTGACAAGAAAGAAAAAAGTGTATCCAGGGCAGAGGAGGAATCAATGGTGTCCAATGCTGCTGGCAGGTAAAATAAGTTGGGGTCTGAGAAATGCCTGTTGCATTTAGCAACCTGGAGGTCATCTCTGACCTTGACAAGAGGAGTTTCGGAGAGTGCTGGGCGTGGTAGCCTAACGGGAGTGGATTTAGGGAGAGTGGAAGAAGAGTACCTGGAGATGTTACAGATAGAAGACTGCTTCAGGCTGCAAAGGGGAACAGGGAAGCCAGGCCGAGCCAGGCAGGGCATGTGGACTTGAGATGAGGTGTTTGTGTTAAGGTAAGAGAAGGAAGACCACATTTCGTTCATGATAGGAATCAGCCAATACAGAACAAAAATTTAGGGGAGAAAGGAGGGGCCTGCTGTAATGATTCCTCAGGTAAGTGAAGCGAGTGCATCTGTGGTTCCTTTAGATTGAGTGCAGACAGCAGACAGGTCACCTGTGGGGCGGGGCAGGGGCGGGGTGGGAGTGGTGCAGGAAGAGCCAGCGGCAGTGTTGAGGCCAGTTGACAGGACAGTGGGAGTGTTCCTAAGCTCTCTTCTGGCAGTTTCAGCTGAGAAGGAGGATGGGGAGGGAGTTTGCAGGGTTGGGCAGAGAAGGTGAGATTTGCAATTATCATCATCTAGAAATGAGAAAGAGGGAATGGGCCAGGGGAGCCCAGGATGATTGGTCCATGTAAACAAAGAGTAACCAAAATATCTCATCACAGCCCCTAGAGTGGAGTCCCAGAATGGCACAAAGGGGCTCCAAAAGGTTAAGAAGTGCAATGCGGTTGTTATAACAGGTATAAGAATTTACTCAATGGAGCAAATACTTGGAGAGGCAATGCTGTGACCACTTCTGGGAGTGTGCACCTCTTTGAGAGGGAGCCCAGAGTGAGCCTTTTCTTTTTCTTTTCTTTTCTTTTTTTTTTTTTTTTTGAGATGGAGTCTTGCTCTGTCACCCAGGCTGGAGTGCTGTGGCGCAATGTCGGCTCACTGCCACCTGCACCTCCCAGGTTTGAGTGATTCTGCTGCCTTAGCCTCCCGAGTAGCTGGGACTACAGGTGTGCCCTACCACGCCTGGCTAATTTTTGTATTTTTAGTAGAGACAGGGTTTCACCATGTTGGCCAGGCTGGTCTCGAACTCCTTACCTCAAATGATCCACCCACCTTGGCCTCCCAAAGTGCTGGGATTACAGGCGTGAGCCACCACACCTGGCCCAGAGTGGGCCTTTTCATGGCTTTACACACCTCATTTGGCTTGCCCCAGTAGTTGCAACAAACAAGTAAGGAAGTCTACAAGGTCTTCAGGATGTTAGAGAATGTGAGGCTGTTGTACCAATCATTTTCAGACAAGGTAGATTTAAAAAATTAAGCATACAGTATAAAAATGAGGGAAGGGAAATTCAATTCCAACCTAACACATTTCCTCCTGATAAATAAAGCGTATTAGTTCCAGACTGTTAACTCCAATATTAAACCCAAGGTACACTTGTTAACTTCAGCAGTTAATGTGTACTAAAAAACAAACAAACAAACAAACAAAAAACAAAATCAAGTCTCTTCCTCTGTAGAGAATTACACCATTTTTCTTCATCTCTTGCGTATTTTGTAACTTTGACATGGTCACTATGGGAATAGAAAGCTAGAATAGAGACTTCAAAAAGTGGCAATTATTCTGAACTGTTCGGAACCTATAATTTTGGTTAAAATACACAATGTAACTACTAAGGTTGCAAAAGAAATTGGCAGGAGACCTGAATTTTATCCAGAATAGGGTAGTTTATAAAAACCAGACAGACCTAGGTTCAAATCAGAATTTTGCTACTTACAAACTTTGTGATATTGATCAAGTTATTTCAATACCCTGAGACTCAGTTTCTTCATCTGTAAAATGGGAATCATTGTAGTTGTGGTAATTAAATGTCTATATATATATATATGTATATAGATCATTTAGCCTAGAGCTTAAGACACAGTAAACACCCAGAAGATAATGAAGATGATAATATGATCTTGATGATGATGTTATGATGATGACGGTGATGTGAGGAAGAGGAGGAGGAAGAGGAGACTGTGATGGTGGTAGTGGTGATAGATGGTGGTGGTGGGTAATAATTCTTATGTCTATCACTAAGAAACAGTTCCATGAACAAATCGCTCACCGCTTTTGGGCCCAGCAATTTGTCTGCTACACTGTGGGCACTCAAAAATCTCTTACTGAATGAATTAATGTTCTAATAATTTCTAAGGCTCATCCCAGCTCTACAACATGAGATAATCCTATGGATTTGTAGTAATCTTTTCCCAGATCTTAACACTTAGACTTGTGGTATTAAAAAAAAATGGGTGAACTCTATAGTATTTGTCAAAAACCAATTATAAAGACTCCGTTCATCATTGCAAAGTTACTTCATTCACTTTAAGCTATTGCCTCTTTAGGGAGCGGGAAGAGAGAGAATGTTTAGGAAGAGGAATAAGATAAAAAAAAAAAGGTAAGGGGAAGCTGAGGGTCATGTGTGAGTGGAATTATTAGGTTCCAAAACACTCCAAATCAAACCTGTATTTGGGGACCCAACCACTTGGTTACTTCACAGCAAAGTTTCTTCAGTGTGTACATTTACAGAGGGAGAATCATCCTAAGAAAGCTCCTCAACACCAAAGGCAGGTCCATTTAGAACTGCAGGTGGTCATTATGAATAGGCATAACCTGATGATACAGGCAGGCTGGGCATTTTCTGCTGGGCACATAGCCACGTCTCAATTGCGTGTATTAACTCCCAGCTTTGCGGATATAAAGAAAATCCGGCTGGTCTCCTCTGGCCAGAAAGCCAGTGCCTCTCTGGGCAGACTCCATTCATTTGCTCATAAAAATCAAACTCCTTATACCATGAACTGGCACACGTTCCTCCAGAAACATCTGTGCTCTTGTGTCTCCACATCTCTACATATACTTTTTTTTTTTGGCATGGAATGCTGCTTTAGGCCAAGTCTGATGCCATGGGCTTTCTAATAAAAATATATACCTTATAGGTATGAATACACTTTATTTCAACATATCATGGCGTCTTCCCAGGCCCTCCTCCAACCTACTCTGAACCCTAGAGCTCAGGTTTGGTGTCCCTTGTTTCTGGCCTCTTGATTCATCCTTGAATTCTGCCTCTCCACGAGAAGGAGAAGGAGAAGCAGAGAAGGAGCAGAAAGAGAAGCCTGTGGTGCTGGTGCTGCTGGTGGTGGTGGTGGGAGATCATGGTGGTGGGTGGTGTGACTCCCATGTATACCACTGAGAAACAGTTCCATGGACAAACCTGCTCCCTAAAGACGTAATAGCTTAAAGTGAATGAAGTAACTCTGCAATGATTAACTGAGCCTTTATAATTGGTTTTTGACAAATACCAAAGAGTTCACTCTTTTTTTTTTGACAGGGTCTCGCTCTGTCACCCAGGTTGGAGTGCAATGGCATGATTACAGTTAACCGCAGCCTGGACCTCCCAGGCTGAAGCCATCCTCTCACCTCAGCCTCCCACGTAGCTGGGACCAGAGGTCCCACATGGCTGGCTAGTTTTTTATAAAGGTGACGTTTCAACATGTTTCCCAGGCTGGCCTCAAATTCCTGGATTCAAGCGATCTGCCTGCCTCGGCTTCCCAAAGTGCTGGAATACAGGTGTGAGCCACTGTGCTCACTCATTTTCTTAAATACCACAAGTCTAAGTGTTTTGTTTTGTTTTTGTAACTGCTGGGCATTGTTTCTCAGCTTGGTTTTGGTTCCCCCAACCAGGGTTTAGCAAGACTAACATTCTAGACCTAACATTCTTCCAGGGCTCTATTCTTAGCTTTCTCTAACAAGCTCCTAGCCATCGCTTTAAGACTGAGTTTGTGCACTGTCTCTGGGACATCCTTTGAGAAGGATGAGAACTTCCGATCCTCCTCTCTGAGTCTTGTGTGTTAGGATTCCCACTGGCTGCTCATAGATACGTCTCCAACACAACTTTGAGCTCCTCAAGGAGAGTTGTCATGTTTTCCTCCCAAGGTCTACCTGTGGCATCCCACAAGTGCTTGCATTTGCTGATGCAGCGGGTGTACACGAACATACAGTGAACACGAACACGAACATTTCAGCAGGTCAGCCGAAAACAAAGGCAAAGTCAATTCCTCCACCAAACAAAAAGACCTCTGTGCTGTTTTGTTTTGTTTTTTAATTTCTGTGTGCCCTTGGTATTCATGATATACTGCTGCTCTAATTTCTCCCCAGTTTTCTAAAATACATTCCCTCTGAGATCCACCTACTTTTTTCACTTTTAAATAAGCTAATCTAAGGGTCAGAAATGAATACTGAAGCCACAATAGAGGACGAAAGAAAAGTGATTGCCCCTAAGCAGGAGACTAACAGCCAAGAGTCATTGTTAATTGATTTCTGAGAGTTTGTGAAGCATGAAAAGCATTTTAGAAGCAGTTTGACAGAAAAACATACAACGACACTCGATCACTCAGCAAAAGAGGATGGTGGGAAGAGCACTGAATTGGAAGTCAGGGGACGGGCTGCTAGCCACAGCTCGCACTCATCAGCTCTGTGACCTCAGAAAAGTCACTTGACCTCTCTGGACCTCATTTATTATAAAAGCAAGGATCTGAACTAGACTTTGATCACTATAAAGTTCTCTGGCCTGAGGATAAACCTTCAAGTGTATTCCACTGAAGCAAAGATGAAATGTAAGCAACAGCAATGGAGGCAACAGGGAGGTGCTGGCAACTTGGCCTGTGGAGGGATGGGTACATCTTCCATGGATGCACTTGAATTATTTCAGACCCAATTAGAAGAAATAGATTATGTTATGAACCAACACAGGCATTGTGAACATATGCCTTCTGCCCCCAACTGTATTTTGTTCTGTTGTTTTAAAAAAAAAATCCCCCATACAAGGAAAGTAGATTTAATCCAAATTAAAGTTCAACAGGGAAAATAAATGAATCTGCATCTGTGTACAGCACTCCAAGTTTCATTTGGAAGCTATTCTACAAGAACTCCATGAGTTGCTTTTGGTCCTTCTGCCTAACGGAAAGAGAGCAAGAGAACAAAGGGGAATGAAGATTGTGGAGAAGGAAGGAAAGCTCACCGTGCCCTGCACTGTTCCTGTTGCTAAGCAACACCCCACAGCTCCCCCGGAGAAATGATGTCTCTGGGAGGTGGCACACAAAGGACACGTCTTCAGCAGACCCATTTCTCATTAAGTGAAGGCTGTGTGGATGCTCGGGAGGCAACACCATTACAAAAGCCTGATTTTACCAGATACACATTTTCATAGAATGATAATCTGATGATGACTACAGCAAAAGCTCTGTAGATCCCCTTCTGTGGCCAAAGGGGGAAATCCGAGAGGCAAATTACTAGACCCAACCTATTGAAAGTGGGGGTGAGGCATGGGGAAGCGATGTCTTGTGCACGAAGGACCTGGACTCACCACTTATCCACTTAGCCTCGGGGTCATGAATTTTGAAGTCTTCACTGAAGAGATCTTCTACAGTGACCTTCTTCTTTTGAGACAGACTATTATCTTCCGCTAGAAAAAAATAAAAAGCAAAGAGTTAAGCTTGTTTCATAATTAGTAAAATGAGAGGACCATAAACATTCTGATTGTCATTTATAAATAGTATGGATGGGAACACACATGACGTCCATAAGTGAATGGGGATAAAAGCCAGTCTTGCATTCTGTTTTTAATTAAACTATCAAAACCTATGCTAAGGAAATCATGATTCAGTAGAACGGCATCACGCCTTCTCACCCACACCTGCAGCATGTAAGTGATCATATTTCTCAGCACAGAGGTAAATAATTCTTTCAGGATTGATTTATGAACAATAGGGTGGGAATAGTCGAGAGGAAGATACGGATATCCAGAATGGACCTCAGTCATATGATGTAATTGGTCAATCATGAAGCATTCATTAAGTGCAGCATTTTAGCTGCTGAGAATTCAAAGACACAGAAAATATTCCTTAGGTCTTCATTCTCCATAAGCTTCACTTGTCCCTGGCTGTCTCTGGGTTGTGGGTTAGTTCTTGCTCAGACAGGATCAAACCCCAATTATCTGTACACAGACTACCAGATTCTGCCTTGCCGCATCTCTGTTACAAGGCTTAGGAGAAAGCACTTGGGATAAGCCTGTGAACACACTCAGCTAATGTTCATCCCAAGATGAGATGTTTAGTTAATGGCGTCAGTGGGTGAGACTTTAAAAATCTGAGAGCTTTTATCCTGTATTTCCAGAGATCAAAGCTTCTAGAGTTTTTGCTCCTCCTCAGAAGAGGCTCTCTCCATTAGAGGCACAAAAATCCACTTATTGACTTTGAAAAGACACAGGGCTGTCAGCATGCCTGACCTGTGAGCCTACAGGCCAGTCCATTCCACCACCTTCACTTCTGTGATACTAATAAGAAACTCCTCTGTATATTGACTTGACCACATCTGATGGACATTATCTACCTAGGATGCTTATTTACTTCCCTGCCCTCTTAAATAGAAGATGCTAAATATCATTGCACATTTTTTTCAAAGACTCCCAGTTTTCTCATTTCAACAGTTTCCTGTTGTGCTGCTATGTGGGGTGATCTTGGTGCTAACTGAGGTGCATATGTCTGTGTGCATTCCACATTCAGTGGCTCTAGAGCTGTGTGTTTTTGTATTTCAATGTCTGGTGGTATGTCTGTTTCTTGTTTCAATTTCTGGCTGTTACGCTTTTTGGACTGTTGTTCTTGACCTTGACAGAACCATTTGCCTCTTTTAATTTTGTGTTTTAAACTCTGTGGCAGGTTAGAAAAACAGAAAGAAATTCTGTTAGGATTACATAAACAAATAGGAATAAATAATCTCTAAATAAAATTTTCAAAGCTTCTAGGACCCCAGTGCATTGCATGGGTTTTATTACGTCACTTTTGGTTTCTTCCTTTTGGGTCTGGTTGTTGACAAATTACTGAAATTGTCAGAAAAGTCATGTATTCCTTTGTGCATTGACTGATCTCTTGAATATCAAATAGGGTTACTGTGTGTAGCAGTCTTTTGAAAATTACAGAATGCTGTGACTCAAGGTGGCCTTATTGTGAAACATGACTGTATATGGAGCTATCCCGGGCGCTGAACATAGTGCATTAAACCAAACCAAGTTCTTTCTTCGCTCTAGGAGCTTTCTAGGTGTGGCTGAAGCAGCCTCAGGAAAAGGCACATGGCTTCAAACATGACACACTTCCATATACACGACAATAAATGAGAATTTTAAAAATTACTAGACATTAATCTAATAAAGTTACACTCTGATCTTGCAATTAAGAAGTCTAAAACTTCCTGAGACATTCTTAAGTACGTGGTCAGAAAATAATAATCATGTTGAAATTTACATTTTATCTGATTAAACTTCACTATTCAAGAATGATTCTAGCCATGCAACTTAAGGTATCTATGTGCCTCATAAGAAAAAACATGTAAGACTGCCATTTAAACAAACGTTGGAAATAAAAGATGAAAAGGCAATGTATTCACTTTCTGAAAATCTTTCTTTCTATACATGTATTTTATTTTAAAAACTGTAATTTTATTTGTTTTTTAAAGGTATTTTTAAAACACTTAAGACTTCTATATAGGGAAAGTATGTGGTGGAGGCATTATGATATATGCTATCAAAATTGCTCCATTCAAGCCAGGACATGACTCTGTCCTTAATTAGCTCTGTCTCCTTAAGAAACTCACTGCTGGCCTCTCTGTACCTAGATGGCTCATTTGCACATTCAACTGATATCTAATTCATTGGTTTATCATTTGATTCATTCCCAAAATCATCTGAGATAATGACAGGCACAGGAGACTGCCACATTCCACAAACCATGCTGAGCCCTGAAGAAGAGAAAGGCCTTATACAAGCTCACAGAGCAGTGGAACCAAAGCAGAATGAATGATCAGAACATAGCAGGGACGGGGCTGAGAGGAACAGGGCTTGTCCTGCTAATATGGAAGCAGACTATTAAATAAGAAAGTGGGAGGGATTGATTCCAGGAGGACTTGCTGAAGGAAAGAGGCTGCTAGCCAAGATAAAGGAGAGAGAAAAACATTCAAGCTAGGAAGGCTCATAAGGGCAGAAAGTTGTCGGTGGATGCAGTATTTTCAAGAGATTGTGTGTGTTGGCATTGGCGTGGCAGACAATGTGAACAGGAAATCCTAGAGGGGAAGGGAGATTCTCTCATTGTATTTGATATTCTGAAATTCCATTAGAAAAAATGTCCACTTGTGGATTTTCTTTAAAAATTCTGCTTAACAGTCAGTAATATTTTCAGCTTAAAGACTATTTTTCTTCACATCAGGAATACTACCAGTAATTATCTCATACAATATGGCTCCTGCAGCATTTGATCCCCTCCTTCCAGAATCCCATCTGGACTGTGCTGGAGCTTCTAGGTCAATCCCCACACCTCGGGCTTTTTCTTAAGTTTTTCCTTTTTGACTTTGGGAGTATTTGGATGATTTCTTCAGTTCAATCTCCTACTTGTCAATATTTTAATACACCTAGACTGTTCTATTACCCAACTAAGGATTTAAATTTAAAATAATTACATTTTAATATCTAATATATCTAAATAACTTTTTTCAAGATCATCTACTCATATTTTATAGTTTCATGCTTCTTTAGCATAGTGATAGTTATTTCAAAAATCTAAAATGTCATTTTCTCTTTTCCCTATTGATTTAAATTTCTTTGGATTTTGGTTTTCATGTGTGTTGGGTTGGTTTCTGCTTTATGGGGGGATGTTTTCTGAAGATGCTTTGTGGTTCTTGGTTGTAAGCTTCTGTCTTACAAGTGTTCTGGGTCTTGAGAGGCCCCTGGTTGGGTGGTCCTCAGGCAGTTTTGAGATTCTGTCTAGGTAACAGCTCTAAACTAAGTCTTGGTGGTCATTTAGGCTGGAGCCCTTTCCCCCAAATGGGTGATGTGATCTGAGGCCTTCTGACCATGAACCCAGTTTTCAGGCAGGGACTCCATGTACCCCTGGTCTCTCATGAAAACCAACCTTCCAAGCCCTCCTGTTGTGCCTGACTTCAGTCTCTATGACTTGAGGATGATGGAAATTTGGCCTTCCCTCCTGCCATAGGTTTTTACCTGTTCCTTCTTATGAGGATGTCTTCCCTTTCAATCCAGGTATGTGAAGAACTCCTGTTCTTGTTTTTGAGAAAGAAGCAGCTATGCTTTTGTTTGTTTGTTTTTTGAGACGGAGTCTTGCTCTGTCACCCAGGCGGGAGTGTGGTGGCGCAATCTTGGCTCACTGCAACCTCCGCCTCCAACATTCAAACGATTCTCCTGCCTCAGCCTCCCGAGTAGCTGGGATCACAGGCACCTGCCACCGAGCCCGGCTAATTTTTGTATTTCTAGTAGAGACAGGGTTTCACTATATTGGCCAGGCTGGTCTCGAACTCCTGACCTCAGGTGATCCGCCCACCTCAGCCTCCCAAAGTGCTGGGATTACAGGTGTGAGCTACCATGCCCGGCTGCAGCTGTGTTTTTCGTTATTTATTTTGCTGTCACTTCCACATGCTTTTGCCATCAAAACAAGGAACATTTCTGTGCTCAATCTTCCTTCTTAAACTGGAAGGCAACATAAAGGTGGCGATGCAAGAAGGGGCAGTGGCTTTCACTGTTTGGATTTCATCCCAAAGGCAATTCAGGGATCACTGAAAAATAAAGTTCCTTCCAGCCCTTTAGCTTGATATACTATAGAAAACTCCATGGCACTTCAAATTGACTTGGCCTGGTTAGCTCACCAGCATGTAAAGGCATGCTGAAATCTGCAGTGATGTAGTTACTCTTTACGGTGGCCAATGTGTAATGCAAATTTCTCAGCCTCCTTTCCCTTCCTCAGATATTTGTTAAATAGTAAAATTCCTGGAGAACCATTTGGAACTCCTTCTCTAAATATTTTAAATACCAGAAAACTAGAAATAAATCCCATCACCCGAGCATAGCTGCTGGAGGGGCATGCAATCCCTGCAGGTAGAGGTAAGCTACTGACAAACTCAGCTTGGTAACAAAGAAAATCTACCCAGAAGAGTCCAAGACTTTCTGTGAGATTCTGCTTTTGTGAGCAATTTGGAATAACTGACAACTCTAAAGTGCTTTATAGTCTTCCGAGTGCAATGATATTTATTATCTCTCCTGATCCCCACCATAATGAGGAGGAAGGAAAGTTACATTGAGCTACTGAGCTGCTGAGAGGTGAAATGACTCCTCCAAAGATGTGTGAGGAATCGGTTGGCAGATGTCAAGCACTAGGTGTTTTCAAAACTCAAAGGAGACAAGGGTTATGGAGGGCTAGCTTCACAGGGGAGACAGACCCCCAAGCTGAGGCTCAGAGTAAAGCAGTCTTTGTATTTAGAACAATTTGTATGTTATTCCTACAAAATGGATACTATTTGTTTGCTTCCTTACCAACACTTCACAAAAACAGGTGGAAATCAAAGAAGCTGTCCATTTTCCAACGTCGGTACCATTAATTCACAAATTCCAATGAGATCACTTTTGCTTAAAAATAAACCACTGCAGCCTGTTCCGTCAGCGATGGACCTAACACAGATGCTGCTTAGTAACAAGGAAAAAGCTCAATGAGAATGCAGGAAACACATCATTTAGTTCTGCCAGCATATTTATTGATTGAGTGCCCTGAGTCAGGCACTGCAGATGCTTGAACAAGACTTCCAATTATATTTCTTTCTTTTTTCTTAAAGTAAAAGAGGTAGAATCCATGCTATGTGTTGCAGGTGCTACTCCTATTTCCTCGGTAGATTCTTATCATAATGAAAGAATAAATTTATATCATGCTGTACCATCAAGAGATTAGAAACAATGAAATTTAAAACCAGGTAGCACGTCTGCAAATCACCATATGAACCTTGGGGATTTTGACCTATTCCTGAATTAAACTGTCCCACTGGCAGATTGTTCACCATATGAATCCATAGGTCAGAGCTGAGATGGTAACATCTCATCCATACACAAAAACCCTAGAGACGGAAGGAAGCCGTGGCAGCAGCTGTGAGTCAGGGGAACACTCTCTCTCTTTACAAAAGTGAGATTTACTCAAAATACACAAAAACATATTTCTCTGAAGAAATCTCTCTAGAGTCATCCAACCCCAAATGTAAGAAACAAAATAACTATTGTTGGGATGAGAATTGCATTAAATAATCTTACCTGAGTGATGCTAGAGGAGCTACAAGAAAATGTACAGTCAGTACCTCTTTACAATGTGTGTGTGTGTGTTTTACTTTCTCAAAGTTGATCATGCTTTCTTTTCTGCTACCAGGAGCTACTATCAATGAACTAGTTATTTGCTTTCAAGTCTATTTCCCATACTAGCTTGATATTTTCCTTTTCTGTTTTAGTTAGGAATCGCAACTTCATGTCTCTAAGGGGCCCAGCAAACAGATGTTCAGTTCATTTCTTTTGAATGAAGAGAGCATTTGTTTTAAAAATCTGTGCCTTTGCTTGTATTTTCGCTTACTTTTTTGTAATGCAGTCTTTGTGTTACTAAAGTATATTATTTATGGTTATACTCCAGACTTATGTCTATAAAAAGTCTCACAGAGATACTAATTTATCTTAAAAGCTTCTCCTTACAAATTCACATGTCTTCAAATAGTCTAAGAAAACTAGTAGCATAACATCAAAATTAGTCACATAATACTTTTTATTGAAATGGTAGAAACTAAGTCATCAGCATTATTCAGCACATCTTATGAACTAAGAAATTGTAGTTATGCTTTATTTTAAGCTTCTAAATCAAATACATCAAAGGTATACATTCCCTCTTCATGTCCTTACCTCCATTCTTTTAGATCCAGGAAATAAACTGAAACCTTAAAATATATTCAGCAGCCTGTTTTCTTTAGTGAGTTACCGCATTAGGCACCTGTGACTTCACATGATTATATGCGGATAGGTTGATATGTTTCCCTACCTAGTTTATTCCTTTCTTGACACCTTTATTAGAGATAAAATTCACATACCATAAAACTTAGCCATTTAAAGTCTACAACACAATGGTTTTAGTATGTTCAGAGTTGTGCACCATTACTGACCTAAATTTGGAACATTTTTATTACCCCCAAAAGATTAGCATAACAATTAGCAGCCACTCTCTATTCTCCCACATCTCTCTTCAGCTCTTCGCAACCAAAAATCTTCTTTCTGTCTCTAAACATTTGGCTATTCTGGACATTTAATGTAGATGGAATCATACAATATGCATTTTGTTGTGACTGGCTTATTTCAGATAGTATTGTGTTTTCAAAGTTCATCCATGTTGTAATACGTACAGAATGTACCACTACTTCATTCCTTTTTATAGATGAATAATATTACAAGCTAATGATGTTGAGCATCTTTTCATGCACTGACTGGTTATTTTTATATCTTCTTTGGAGAAATGTGTCACTTTATTCAGATTATAAAAAATGCTGAAATTAAGAGATTCACTGTCGAGAAAGATACTGCCATCCTGAGAGCATGGCTGAAAAACCTTTGCTAATACCTTGAAAGATCAAAAGGTAAGTATTCAGTCACACAAAAGGCCCTTTGAAGAGCTTAAATGTGTGATTCACAGACCCCAAACCTCTCTCAGCAGAAGGCAAACATAGAGATGAAAGTATCTAGAAGAATCCTAGGAAGAGCCACTTGTCTAATGGAATGAATTCCCATGACATACATAGAAGATCCGCAGATTCTTAAGAATTTATATCTGTAGAAACATTGCCAGCTTGGACTGAAAAGGAGAGAGGGAGTATGAAACAAATAAAGGCTGTTGGACGCTGTATTAGCCCATTCTCACACTGCTGTAAAGAACTACCTGAGACTGGGTAATTTATAATGAAACGAGGTTTAATTGACTCACAGTTCTGCATGGCTGGGGAGGCCTCAGGAAACTTACAATCATGGTAGAAGGAAAAGGGGAAGCAAGCACCCTTTGTGACATGGTGACAGGAGAGAAAGAAAGCAAAGAGGGAGGTGCTACGCACTTTTAAACAACCAGATCTTGTGAGAACTCTATCACAAGACAGCACTAGGGGGATGGTGCTGAACCATTAGAAACCAGCCCCATGATCCAATCACCTCCCACCAGCCTCTCATTCAACACGTTAGGATTACAATTTGACATGAGATTTGGGTGGGAACACAGAGCCAAACCATATCAGACCCCCAAAATTCTCAGGCAGAAAACATGCTTATAAAACTACTCAGCTACAATCTCAAGCTGCCATTCATGAAGAAGAAAGATGACTCCCAGAGGGCAGACCTGAGAGCCCTAGGATACTATTCCCAAGCCTATAAACCTAATGCAGTTTCCCCAACTGAATTTAGAAGTTGTTTGGAACTAGTGACTCCTTTTTCTCCCTTTTTGAACAAGAATGTCTATAACTGTCATCCTATACCCGTCCCACTACTGTGTTTACCTCTCCAGTTTCTCAGAGCCACAGTACAGATGAATTGTGCTTTGGGTGGAGTATGCCCTGAGGCCTACTCAAAACTCATTCAGATGATTTCAGTGTTAAAATTTGGGAGTTCTGAACTGATGAGATCACAGACTTTGAGTTGATACTATAATAGGTTGAGATTTCTGGGGACCTTGGGGTAGAGTGAATGAATGTGCTTTATATATGAGAAGGATGTGAATCTTTGCGGGTCAGAGAACAGACTGTGTTAGGTAAGACAGGGCCATCCCAAAGACGTCCACGTGCACTGGTATTATGTACTGAATTGTACGTACCAACAAATCCATATGTTGACACCCTAACCCCCAATGTGATTCTATTTGGAGATAGCGCCTTTAAGGAAGAAACTGAAGTTAAATGAGATCAGAGGGTGAAGCTCTAATCTGGTAGGACTACTGTACTTAAAAAAGAGGAAGAGAAACAAGAGCTCTATTTTCCTCTCTTCAGGCACACATATGTGCACTCACAGAGAAAAAGCAGGGAGAGGATACAGCAAGAAGGTGCGGTCTGCAGGCCAGGAAGGGAGACTTCACCATAAACCAACCCTGCTGACACCTTGATCTTGGACTTCCAGCCTCCAGAAGTGTGAGAAATGAAATTCTGCATTTATTTATTTTTTTAGTACACTTTAAGTTCTGGGATACATGTGCAGAATGTGCAGGTGTGTTATATAGGTATACATGTGCCATGGTGGTTTGCCACACCCATCAACCCATCATCTACATTAGATATTTCTCCTAATGCTATCCCTTCCCTTGCCCCCCACCCCTCGACAGGCCCCAGTGTGTGATGTTCCCCTCCCTGTGCCCATATGTTCTCCTTGTTCAACTCCCACTTATGAGTGAGAACATGCAGTATTTGTTTTCTTGTTCCTGTGTTAGTTTGCTGAGAATGATAGTTTACAGCTTCATCCATGTCCCTGCAAAGGACATGAACTCATTTTTTTTATGACTGCATAGTATTCCATGGTATATATGTGCCACATTTTTTTATCCAGTCTAACATTGATGGGCATTTGGGTTGGTTCCAAGTCTTTGCTATTGTGAATAGTCCTGCAATAAACATACAAGTGCATGTGTCCTTATAGTAGAATGATTTATAACCCTTTGGGTATATACCCAGTAATGGGATGGCTGGGTCAAATGGTATTTCTAGTTCTAGATCCTTGAGGAATCAACACACTGTCTTCCATAATGGTTGAACTCATTTACATTCCCACCAACAGTGCAAAAGTGTTCCTATTTCTCCACATCCTCTCCAGAATCTGTTGTTTCCTGACTTTTTAATAATCATCATTCTAACTGCAGTGAGATAGTATCTCATTGTGGTTTTGATTTGCATTTCTTTAATGACCTGTGATGATGAACTTTTTTTCATATGTTTCTTGGTCACATAAATGTCTTCTTTTGAAAAGTGTCTGTTCATATCCTTTGCCCACTTTTTGATAGAGTTGTTTTTTTCTTGTAAATTTGTTTAAGTTTTTTGTAGGTTCTGGATATTAGCCCTTTGTCAGATGGATAGATTGCAAAAATTTTCTCCCATTCTGTAGGTTGCCTGTTCACTCTTGAAGATAGTTTCTTTTGTTGTGCAGAAGCTCTTTAGTTTAATTAGATCCCACTTGCCAATTTTGGCTTTTGTTGCATTTCTGTTTTCTAAATCACCCAGTCTGCATATTTTGTTGACAGCTCAAGCTGACTAATAAAATTTGTATTTTCAAAAATTTTTCAACTGTGTGTTGCTAGTACATAGAAATGCAATTAATATGTGTAAATAGACCTTGCATTCTGTAACCTTTCTAAACTTACTTACAGTAGGCCCCTCCTTACCCATGGTTTTGCTTTCCACAGTTTCAGTTACCATCAGTTGACCATGGTCTAGAAATATTGAGATTATTTTGAAAGAGAGTGAGAGATAACACATTCATGTAACTTTTGTTACAGTATATTGGTATAATTTTTCTCCTTTATTTCTAGTTATCATTATTAATTTCTGACTGCACCTAATTTATAAGTTAAATTTTATCGTAGGTATACATGTGCAATAAAACCCCATAGTATAAGTAGGATTCAGCACTATCCATGGTTTCAGGCATCCACTGGGGTTCTTGGAATGGATACTCTGTAGATAAGGGGAACTACTATACATATATTATTTTGGCATATTTTGTGCAGGCATTCATTTTGTCTGTAACAAGGACAGTTTATTTCAAGTAGAAATAATCCAATAAAATTATTGAGAAAACCCAATTTATTTAAGTAAGTCATGGTCCCAATATCAATAGACCAATTGTAACTATTAATGAATTTTAAGAAAAGTCCACTTGACTGGAATGCCTCAAGAAAAGTTGTTCAGTTACACAGGATTATATATTTTTTCCTCTCTCTATGGCTTCAGATTTACAACAGAAATATTTGTTTAAGTATAAAATTGTGAATTTTGAAAGGAGGCAGAGCAAGATGGCCAAATAAAAGCCTTCACTGATCATCCTCTCTATAGGAACACCAATTGAACAACTATTCACAGGAAAAAGCAGCTCGTAAAGAACCAAAAATCAGATTAATGATCACAGTATCTGGTTTTGACTTCATATCACTGAAGTAGCACTGAAGAGAGTGGGAAAGACAGTCTTGAGTTTCCCCTTCCTCATCCCCTGGCAGCAGTTGTGTGGCAGAGAATCTGCTTGCTTGGGGCAGGGAGAATGCAGTGACTGTGGGACTTTGCATTGAAACTCAGTGTTGCTTTGTCACAGAGTAAAGCAACGCTAGGCAGAACTCAGTCAATTCCCACGGACGGAGCACTGAGACCAGCCCTAGCCATTCGGGAACTGCATATCCCAGCAGTGGGAACCTGAGCTCCAGCAAGCCTCACCACTGTGGGCTAAAGTGGTCTGGGGTCCTAAAATAACTTGAAAGGCAGTCTAGGCCGCAAGAACTGCAATTCCTGCGCAAGTCTTGGTGCTGTTCTTGGCTCAGAGCCAGTACACTTGGGGGACACACAACCTAGTGAGACAGCAGCTGGGGTGGCCAAGGGAGTGCTTGCATCACCTCTTCACAAACCCAAGGCAGCACAGCTTGCAGCTCTAGGAGAGACTCTTTCCCTCTGCTTGAGGAGAGGAGAGGGAAGAGAAAAGAGGAAATTGTCTTGCAACTTGGATACCAGCTCAGCCACAGTAGAATAGAGCACCAGGAAGAGTCATGAGGCCCTCATTCCAGGTCCTAGCTCTGGGATGACATTTCTAAACATACCCTGTGCCTGCCTTGAATGGAAAAACCCAATCTGGCAGGATTCCTCACCTGCTGACTAAGGAGCCCTTGGGCCCTAAATAATCAGTAGCAGTGGTACTCAGGCAGTACTTGCTCAGGGTCTTGGGTAAGACTCAGAGACAGGCTGGCTTCAGGTGTGACCCAGGACATTCCCAGCTGTGGGGCTACAGGGAGAGACTTCTTCTGCTTAAGAAAAGGAGAAGTAGGCTGGGCGCGGTGGCTCACGCCTGTAATCCCAGCACTTTGGGAGGCCGAGACGGGCGGATCACGAGGTCAGGAGATCGAGACCATCCTGGCTAACACGGTGAAACCCCGTCTCTACTAAAAACACAAAAAATTAGCCGGGCGTGGTGGCGCGCGCCTGTAGTCCCAGCTACACGGGAGGCTGAGGCAGGAGAATGGCGTGAACCCGGGAGGCGGAGCTTGCAGTGAGTCGAGATCGTGCCACTGCACTCCAGCCTGGGCGACAGAGCGAGACTCCGTCTCAAAAAAAAAAAAAAAAAAAAAAAAAAAAAAGAAAAGGAGAAGTAAAGGTAAAAAGCACTTTGTGTTGCAACTTAGGTACCAGCTCAGCCACAAAGCGGCAGGGTACTAAGTGGGCTCTTGGGGTCCCCAATTCTAGGCCTTGGTTCTTGGATGATATTTCTCGACCTGCCCATATTATCCTTGTTTGCAGATAATATGATCTTATATTTGGAAAAACCTAAGGATTTCACTAAAAAAAATTAGAACTGATAAAAAAATTCAGCAAAGTTGCAGGTTACAAAAATCAACCTACAAAAATCAGTAGTATTTCTATATGCCAGCAGTGAACAATCTGAAAACACTCATAGGTGGGAATTGAACAATGAGAGCACATGGACACAGGAAGGGGAACATCACACACCGGGGACTGTTGTGGGGTGGGGGGAGGGGGGAGGGATAGCGTTAGGAGATATACCTAATGCTAAATGACGGGTTGATGGGTGCAACACACCAGCATGGCACATGTATACATATGTAACAAACCTGCACGTTGTGCACATGTACCCTAAAACTTAAAGTATAATAATAATAAAATTTAAAAAAAGAAAGTAATTCAATTTATAATCACTGCAAATAAAATAAAATACCCAGGAATTAACCTTACTAAAGAAGTAAAAGATCTCTACAATGAAAACTATAAAAGATTGATGAAAGAAATGGAAGCAGACATAAAAAATAAAAATATATTCTATGTTAATGGATTATAAGAATCAATATTGTTAAAATTTCCATACTATCTAAAGCAGTCTACAGGTTCAATGAAATCTCTATCAAAATACTGATGACATTCTTCACAAAAATAGAAATAACTATCCTAAAATTTACATGGAATCACAAAAGATCCACAATAACCAAAGTTATTCTAAGTAAAATGAACAAAACTGGATGAATCATATTATCTGACTTCAAATTATACTACAGAACTATAGTAATCCAAACAGCATGGTACTGGCATAAAAACAGACACATAGAGCAATGGAACAGAATAGAGAACCTAGAAACAAATCCATATACCTACAGTGAACTCATCTTCAGCAAAATTGCCAAGAACATATATTGGGGAAAGGACAGTCTCTTCAATAAATGTTGAAGGGAAAACTGGATATCCATATGCAGGAGAATAAAACTAGACCCTTCCCTCTCACCATATACAAAAATCAAATCAAAATGGATTAAAGGACTACATGTAAGACCTCAAACAATGAAACTACTTAAAAAAAAATTGGGGAAACTCTCCAGGACACTGTACTAGGTAAAAATTTCTTGAGTAATACCCTATTTAGCAAAGGCAACCAAAGCAAAAATGGACAATTGGAATCACATTGAGTTAAAATGCACAGCAAAGGAAACAATCAACAAAGTTAAAAGACAACCCACAGAATGGAGTAAATATTTGCAAACTATCCATCTGACAAGGGATTAACAAGCAGAATATATATGGAGCTCAAACAACTCTATAGGAAAACATCTAATAATCCAATTAAAAATGGGCAAAAGATCTGAGTAGACATTTCTCAAAAGAAGACATACAAATGGTAAACAGGTATATGAAAAGGTGCTCAACATCATTGATCATCAGAAAAATGCAAATCAAAGCTATAATGAGACACCATCTCACCCCAGTTAAAAAGGCTCATATCCAAAAGACATTCAATAACAAATGCTGACAATGATATGCAGAAAAGGAAACCCTCATACACTGTTGATAAAAATGCAAATTAGTACAACCACCATGGAGAAGAGTTTGGAAGTTCCTCAGAAAACTAAAAACAGAGTTACCATATGATCCAGTAATCCCAGTGCTAGGTATGTACCCAAAAGAAAGGAAATCAGTGTATCAAACAGACACCTGCACTCCTTTGTTAGTTGCAGACCTGTTTACAATACCCAAGATTTGGAAGCAACCCTAGTGTCCATCAACAGATGAATGGATAAAGAAAATATGGTACGTATACACAATGGAGTACTATTCAGCCACAAAAAAATGAATGAGATTTGTCATTTGCAACAACATGAATGAAACTGGAGGTCATTATGTTAAGTGAAATAATCTAAGAAAGACAAACTTGGCACAGAAAGACATACTTGGCATGTTCTCATTTATTTGTGGGAGCCAAAAATTAAACAATTCATGGAGCTAGGGAGTAGAAAAATGGTTATCAGAGGTTGGGAAGGGTAGTGGTGGATGGTGGGGGTGGGCAGAGGGGGATGGTTAATGGGTACAAAAATAGAGTTAGAAAGAGTAAGATTTACTATTTGATAGCATAACAATGTGACTACAGTCAATAATACTTTATTATGCATTTTTAAATAACTAAAAGAGTATAATTGGATTGTTTGCAACACAAAGAAAGGACAAATGCTTAAGGGGATGGATACTCTATTTACCCTGGTGTGTTTATCATTTCATGCATGCCTGTATCAAAATGTGTCATGTGTCCCATAAATATACATACCTACTATGTACCCACAGAAATTAAAAATTAAAAAATGAAATAGTGAATGTTGTAAATGTGTTTTTGATTTTAAAAACCAACTTATTATTTGATGAGAGATTTTATTAAAGTGAAAAAAATATTGCAAATATTACTTAAAGGGAAGAGAAAGAGTAGGAAGCTGGGATTGAGAAGAAAGTCTTTTAAGCATGCTTCTTTCCCATATTATCTAGTGACAAGTCAAGAGGCGCATTTAGAATCAATGGAACAAGAAATTTATACATGAAAAAATTTTCCCACGTGGTTATGAAACACATCTATAGAGGACTTGAAATAGCATTATAGGTTTTGTAACTCAGAGTGAAGAGACGGAAGTGGGAGAAAATGTAAAGCAGCTAAATTTTGACCTTCGTAGTCGGTAGTCTGTGGACATTGACATATCAGCATGATATTAAAAAGTACATGAATAAGGCCAGGCACGGTGGCTCATGCCTATAATCCCAGCACTTTGGGAGGCCAAGGCGGGTGGATCACCTGAGGTCAGGAGTTCAAGACTAGCCTGGCCAACATCGCGAAACCCCGTCTCTATTAAAAATACAAAAGTTAGCCAGGTGTGGTGGTACACGTCTGTAATACCAGCTACCTGGGAGGCTGAGGCAGGAGAATCACTTGAATCCAGGAGGCAGAGGTTGTGGTGAGCTAGGATCATGCCATTGCACTCCAGCCTGGATGACAGAATGAGACTCTGTCTCAAAAAAAAAAAAAAAAAAAAAAAAAGCACATGAATAAATATCAGAAGACTTAAATCAGAAATGGTGGAAAGTGACAGTATCTAGGGACTGGTTGTAGAACTGACAGTATGAGAAAATAATTATAAAAGGATTATTATTGTTCATTTAATATTTCTTTTCTTTTCTTTTTCTTTTCTTTTTTTTTTTTTTTTTTTGAGATGGAATCTCACTCTGTCACCCAGGCTGGAGTGCAGTGGTATGATCTCGGCTCAGCCTCCCGGATTCAAGCAATTCTCCTGCCTCAGCCTCCCAAGTAGCTGGGATTACAGGCACGCGCCATGACGCCTGTCTAATTTTTGTATTTTTAGCAGATACGGAGACCAGGGTGGTCTCAAACACCTGACCTCAGGTGATCTGCCTGCCTCGGCCTCCCAAAGTGCTGAGATTACAGGATGAGCCACCATGCCCAGCCAATTTAATATATTTCTACTGTTTTTCTATTTATACATATTACTTGTTCAATAAAATTAATAAAATCATGTTCTGATCATAAACATATACTCATACCTGAATTGAGAGCCTGAATCGGTATGTGTCTTCATGATGTACCAACACCAAGGTCAGCTATTAATAATTTAACCTTCCCAAATGACTGGCTTGCTGTGTAAACACAGGTGTAGTGTGCTCCCAATAGGGAAATAATGGGTGGAACAATTCTTCACCCGATGCCTACGAGAATAGGCATGCTAAACCCAAAATACCTGTGACACGTAGCAAACACCTTTACACATTGTAAGGGGTTACTTAGTCTCAGAAATTATCATTATCTGTCACATACAATGTATATTTTTAATCTGAATTTCATTGGCTTCTTTTTTTTAATCTGCATTTCATCTCCCATCTCGACAAATTTAATAACATAGACTGTAAGTGGAGCTTAAATCTGTTTAATTGAATGTATGTAAAATAAGAAGAATTAAGTCAATACTGGAGATTCCTATTCCTCTTCCTCTCCTCTTCCTTCCTCTTTCTCTCAAATTTTGAAAAACATCAAAATACATCTCAATTTGAAAGAATTTCATTTCCTTTCTTTGTGGTGAAGATGGTAAAGAACCACCTTTTGAAACTCAGGGTTGTCCCCTAGAGAGCTGAGCTAGGAGCCCAGCATGGACTCCCATTGTGAATGGCAGGAAGGAGCAGACAGGGCAGTGCGTGGCACAGTTGTTGTCCAGTTCATGGTCTTCCAAGGGCTGGCACATGGCTTCTAAGCATTCTAGTTCTGATCTCTCCACAAGTGCATTCTTTTGCCTGCCTGTAAGACATGGCCACCGTAAAAGTGGCAATGCCATTTATCTCCCTTTATTTTAGCCTCCTGTGGCTGCTGTGACAAATGACCACAAACTTGATGGCTTCAAACAACAGAAGAGTATGCTCTCCCAGTTCTGGAGACTGGAAGTCTAAAATCAGCTTCACTGGGCCCAAATACAAGTGTCAGCAGGGCTGCACGCTCTTGGAGGTTCTGGGGAAGCATCTTGTATTAGTCCATTTTCATACTGCTATGAAGAAATACCTGAGACTGGGTAATTTATAAAGAAAAAGAGGTTTAATGAGCTCACAGTTCCACATGGCTGGGGAGGCCTCACAATCATGGTGGAAGGCAAAGGAGGAGCAAAGGCACATCTTACATGGCAGCAGGCAAGAGGGCATGTGCAGGGGAACTGCCTTTTATAAAACCATCAGGTCTCATGAGACTTATTCACTATCATGAGAATAGCACAAAAAACCCACCCCCATGATTCAATTACCTCCCACTGGGTCCCTCCCATGACATATGGGAATTATGGGAGCTACAATTCAAGATGAGATTTGGGTGAGGATACAGCCAAGCCATATCACATCTGTTCTTTGTCTCTTCCAGCCTCTGGGGGCTGCCAGTATTCCTGGGCTTGTGGCCACATCCCTCCCATCTCCACCTCTGTGGTCACTTTGCCATTTCCTCCTTCGTCTGTGTCAAATCTCCCTCTATTTCCTTCTTTTTTTTTTTTTTTATTATACTCTAAGTTTTAGGGTACATGTGCACATTGTGCAGGCTAGTTACATATGTATACATGTGCCATGCTGGTGCGCTGCACCCACTAATGTGTCATCTAGCATTAGGTATATCTCCCAATGCTATCCCTCCCCCCTCCCCCGACCCCACCACAGTCCCCAGAGTGTGATATTCCCCTTCCTGTGTCCATGTGATCTCATTGTTCAATTCCCACCTATGAGTGAGAATATGCGGTGTTTGGTTTTTTGTTCTTGCGATAGTTTACTGAGAATGATGGTTTCCAATTTCATCCATGTCCCTACAAAGGATATGAACTCATCATTTTTTATGGCTGCATAGTATTCCATGGTGTATATGTGCCACATTTTCTTAATCCAGTCTATCATTGTTGGACATTTGGGTTGGTTCCAAGTCTTTGCTATTGTGAATAGTGCCGCAATAAACATACGTGTGCATGTGTCTTTATAGCAGCATGATTTATAGTCCTTTGGGTATATACCCAGTAATGGGATGGCTGGGTCAAATGGTATTTCTAGTTCTAGATCCCTGAGGAATCGCCACACTGACTTCCACAATGGTTGAACTAGTTTACAGTCCCACCAACAGTGTAAAAGTGTTCCTATTTCTCCGCATCCTCTCCAGCACCTGTTGTTTCCTGACTTTTTAATGATTGCCATTCTAACTGGTGTGAGATGATATCTCATAGTGGTTTTGATTTGCATTTCTCTGATGGCCAGTGATGATGAGCATTTCTTCATGTGTTTTTTGGCTGCATAAATGTCTTCTTTTGAGAAGTGTCTGTTCATGTCCTTCGCCCACTTTTGACAAAATTCAACAACCCTTCATGCTAAAAACTCTCAATAAATTAGGTATTGATGGGACGTATTTCAAAATAATAAGAGCTATCTATGACAAACCCACAGCCAATATCATACTGAATGGGCAAAAACTGGAAGCATTCCCTTTGAAAACTGGCACAAGACAGGGATGCCCTCTCTCACCACTCCTATTCAACATAGTGTTGGAAGTTCTGGCCAGGGCAATCAGGCAGGAGAAGGAAATAAAGGGTATTCAATTAGGAAAAGAGGAAGTCAAATTGTCCCTGTTTGCAGACGACATGATTGTTTATCTAGAAAACCCCATCGTCTCAGCCCAAAATCTCCTTAAGCTGATAAGCAACTTCAGCAAAGTCTCAGGATACAAAATCAATGTACAAAAATCACAAGCATTCTTATTTCCTTCTTATAAGAACACATGTGATCACATTGAGGTTCCATTGGATAACTAAGGGTAATCCTCCATTTCAGATGCTTAATGTAGCCACAAAAGGCCCCCTTTTGGCCATAAAAGAAAACATTAACAGGATCCAAGGATTACAACTTGGACTTTTTTTTTGGTGGGGGGGGCGCATTTTTTAGCCTACCGCATCCTTCAAGGCCTTTCTCCCATTTCCAACCAACCCACCACTTTAGAAGGCATCCTCTGAGGCTGCAATGATCATACATTTACTGAATGAAAAAGAAAGACATGAAGAATCTGAGTAGGGGAAAAGCAAGAAAGAGACTGATTAAATGGGAGGTCCTGCAAATTATCACTTAACTGAACTTCTGGTGATTTTAATACCATACTTAAATGCACAGAGTCAATTTAGAATATCTGGGATTTGAGGATTATGAAGTAGCAATCTGAGAAAGTGCATGGATATACTGTTTCTGCAGAAGTGATCAATGGTTGTCCAAGCAGGGCTTAAGGTGAAGAGTTCAGAGAATTTGGAACCATTTCAATCTGGAATTTCATCTTCCTAGTTCCCCGACCTGCTTAGTTCATTTTACAGAATTGCTCTCCAGTTCTCCGATTTTATTATATCACAGCTTTCTGTGTTCCTGACCCTGACATGGTATGGTAACTCTGCTTAAACTCCTGAATTGCTGCCTTTGGTTCTGGACTGCCAGAGTCTTCACTAAACTAGCAACTAATATAGGAGCCAGCTGCTTGTAAAAATATGGTCCTTAAGGCCACCAAAATTAATTTGAAGCTGACCAGGAGGCACTCATCTATAGCAGGCAAGAGACTCCAGAGGAAACCAGGGTCCCAGCATAAGATTTACTCATTTTCATGGTTGCCTTTAAAATAGGATGCAAAATGCAGCAACACTTGAAAAGTGTCCATTTATAGATAAATATGTAGACCCATTTGCCTTAGCTTATAGTCTTAACACGAGTGTGAATAATAAGCATCTACTGCCATCCTTTAGAAAAATGGCTCTTTAGTGTAAGGACTCCATAAATAAGCGAGATGCACCTAGTAGTCCTTCTAGAATTAATGATGGGAAATCAAAAGAGAGACGGTTAAGATGGTCCCAGCGACCCACTTTTCAGTAGTTTGCAAGTTTGCAACTCACTATAGGGTTAGTAGCAATGTAACCTAATTATTTCTTCTATGAGAATCTGTCAGAACTCCCTCCTTTTGGAGGGAGAAGATTTGTTTCAATTTAAAGAATGACTCAAATTCACTGGTCATGTTCAAGGAATGTAGACCACATTCCTCAAGGATTTCACAAATCAAGGGGTCTTGCTCGTGGTGGTGGACACTGAAGGCTGCTTCCCCAAGAGCCAGTGCCTCTCTGCCTTCTTCTGACTCAGCAGAGCCTGACTCCTACAAATGGCGGGCTTTGCCAACCCCCTCCAGTGAAGGTAGCCATGCAATATGGTTACAGCAAATAAGCTGTCTCCTCGCAGCTCCGGGGAACCGAAAGGAACTACTCAGAAAACTATTTCCTCCATGACAGAGGAAGTGAGATGCACAAGCTAAGTTCTATGTGTCCATCCCTTCCTGTGCGTGTGGGCGAGTGAAGCATGAAGCCGTCACAACCATGTTGTCGACATACTGATGGCAGCAGAGAGATGGAGCCCACCTGGACTTTGACAATATCCACGAGCACTGAATCTGCCTTGGACTGGCTATGTCTAAACTTGTCTTGTGAAACAATACGGACACCTGCAATTGGAACAGTTTTAGTTGGCTGTTCTGTTACTCACAGACAAAAATATTTTGGCTGACAAACTTTAACACCTGGACCTTGGATAAACGCTCAAGCAGATCCCTGAGATGGCCCTGGGATGGACTGACTAGGTTTGCAAACGTTATATTAATACAACATATCCAAATGTTTATGTGCACACAATGCCCTTTCTTTCCTTCCAACGATAAGATGACTTACAGTTTTCATCAGATTCTGAAACTGGTTAGGACACTGGTGTAAACGGTATGAGAAGTTAGAGTTCAGTCTCAAATCCAGGCCCTGTGCGCTCCAGGCTCTCCCCATTGGCTACCATCCCTTTCCTTCTCCCTTAACTCTTGACCACACCTGGCCCCTCCACAACTTCCTGGCCAGACTGTCCTCTGTCCCCCGAGGGCTCATGGCTTTCCCTCTCAGTTTTCTTCCATCTCTACTGGATCTATCTTTTAAAGTCCCTAATTGCTCATTCTCCACGAAGCCTTCCAGGAATGTATCCTGTTCTCAATGGCCTCTCCCATGTTTTGGACCATCATAATGAATATCATCTGCAGCCTCTATTTATAGCACCCAGTCTCGATTAGTATTAACAAGTTAACTTTGGGCAGAAACATTAACAGTGGTAGCATCGGCAGCAGCCAAAACAACTCTGTGTTTCATGATCAGAGTAGACACCATCCCCAATCCAGTCAGTCCGCTGCAGATGGGTGTGAGCAGGCACGGAGGAGCCCAGGACTCACAGAGCAGATGCCCCAGGGCAAATGAACAATACCAGAACCCACTCAAGCCACCTGTGCTTCCCATGATGAAATGGGTTGGGCCATGGTCAGTGTTAGTAGATGGAATATAACAAGATTGAATTTGTGGAATGAATTTAATATAGGAGCCCTAACAGAGAGAAAATGCCCAAAAGATACGGAGCAAGCCATCTATTTCTACAAGACAAAAAAAAATTAGGAGGTATGCATTACTTTTTATGATACACACAAAAGCTATTAAATGACTGTTAAGCTATTTTGCAATTTTCATTGAGATTATGTGGGACTTTATGATAAGATAATCCAATATAGGTTAAAAATTGGGTAGCAGTACAATCTAAAATACAACTATGAATCTCACAAACATATAGAACAAAAGCAGGCATAAAAGTAGACATACCAGATGATTACATTTATGCCATAAATGCAAAGAATATAAAAACTCATAATACTACTCTGTGATGTCAGAAATGAGGTTGCCCTTGAGAGGATTAATGATAGGAAGGGCCTGGGGGGCTTTCCGGATGCTGGCTGCATTCTGCTTTTTTGGCCTGGATGCTGATTACAGAATCAAGTTTGGTTTTAAAATTCATCAAAATTCAACAATAGCTTACTCACATGTGTTTATATTTATATATTTAATATCTATATAATATTTATGTTAAATATATAATATATATCCTATATGTATATCCTTCTTCAATAAAATGTTTTGAAATTATTTGTTCAAGAATTTTAAAAAGATAAGGTGAGGGTTGGCAATGCGGTCACAGACATTAAACAGTGATGACATTTTAATTCCGTAAAAGTAATCTCTATGTTACGTTTCTACCCAAAAGACTGACGAGTCTTGTGTTCTGATAACCTGTGCTTGGCCTTAACCCAGAACCTCCATTCACTATGACTTTGAATTATTCAAGGCTTCTCATTGATGTACCACCTAAAAGTGTTCTAGTGTTTCCGGCATAAACCACTGTCCACCTGCTCTAATGTGAGATTCCATAAAAGCCAATTGTCAGGGATGTTTTCATGCAAATCCGATCCTGCTGGAGTTTCCGACCCCCACGTCAGCGATTGTGGCACCGGAGAAGGTCACGGTGTTTCCATCAGAATGCGGGAACTGTAGCTGCTAACAAAAGGCATACGCTGTGCATGGCCTATTGTAGACAGATACATATTTAATATTGAAAATAAAAAATGTAACGTTGAGCCTATTATTCCAAAGAGAAGAAATTTAGAAAAGAGCATGGACCAGCAAGGGAGATATGAATGACAACATTGAAAGGGACATATTCTCACTTGGTAAATCCCTTTGGAACTAAGATCACCTTGAACACTTTTAATTTGATTTCTAAAACATCAATTGTGCATAACTGGTGATAATTAGACTGTACTCCAGGACAAGATGCCTTGTTGTTCAGAGTGATTACCATGAGGCCCTTCCAGGTCTGCGTCATCAGGAGGGCACTCCACCATGCGCATGAGATTCTTCTCACAGGGGTGGCAAGGGGCCCCTGGGTACCAGGAACCACTTTCACAAAACGACTGAATCAAGTGAGTTCAGAATGGATTTTCTAATTAAGTAGAAAGCAGATACTGTACTCTGAGTTGCAATAAACCAGAATACAAGACTGGTAGTACTTGAAAAATACTATTTTTTTAAAAAAGCACATATTACAATTTCTAACTAAATCTACCAAAATGGAAGCAATGTTGGGTAGGAACGCACTCAACACTGTGTGCAAACATATGCGAAGTGTGACGGTTACGACTTGGATTCTCCACTGTTGAAGACTGACTGTCATCTTTCACTTTCACCGGTGGAAGCCACTCCTGCCTTGGCGAGGATCTCAGCCCTCTAGGTCAGCATTTCCACTATCTACACAACTCAACAGGCCTCCACCACACCCTGCCTTTGACTTTTATTTTTACTTAATGATAACACTACTGTGGAATTCTCCTTGCACATGCATTGTCTTTACGTGGACTCTAAGCTTCATGGGAAGTACTGGCATCTTCTCTTTCCACATTCTGTCTGGCACTTAGCATGGAGTTCTCAGCTCCTAGCCGGGATCATTCATGCTGGCTCTGTTGGCAGGCATTCTCTGTCGAGGTGACACTGCTCTGTACATTAGTGAATTTGACACTGCTCTGGAGCTAGTGGCAGGTTGAATGATTTGATACCTCCTCTGCCTGATGGAATTTTATGCCAAAACACAAGCCATTGCTGTATTGCAGGAGAGTGGATGCAGTCAGGCCTCGGTGCGGGAGCAGCGGTGCAACATTTGCTGTGCAGCCCTGTGGGAGAGGCCTAAACCTTGGACACCCCATCCCAGGGCAGCACAGCCCAGAGAAACAAACAGCACCCATGAAAGCCCAGCAGAACCAAAAGGTGAAGCAAGGCTCAGCTGCATGTGTATTGTGATGGAACAAGAAAAGCAAATTCCCCTCCAAAGCCTTCTCTGGAATTCAGCCATTCACTAGAGCTTCTCCAGGAGCAGTTGCCCCTGACAACTGGCCGTCAGCATGGAGGGAGAAGAGTTCCCAGCAACTGCATCCTCTGTTTACTGCAGAGGGGAGGCTGCTGTGGTTGCCTTGGCTGCAAAAGAACTGAATGTAGATGCTGGCAGGGTCAGCTGCTGTGCTGGAGGGAGGAGGCCTGCCGCCACTCCCTGTGCGTGGAGAAGACGCAGGGCTACTGCTTGCCAGGCCTGGAGTTGAGCTTGGAGGACAGGGTCCCAGGACCTGGTTCTCAACCCGCTTTGCTGCTGTGGACATTTCGGTGTAAGAAGCTCCGGGCAGCCATTTAATTCCACTTTTTTTTTTTTTTTTTTTGGTGAGACAGGCTCTTGCTCTGTTGCCAGGCTGGAGTGCAGTGGCGCGATCTCGGCTCACTGCAACCTCTGCCTCCTGGGTTCAAGCCATTCTCCTGCTCAGCCTCCTGAGTAGCTGAGATTACAGGCACCTGCCACCAAGCCCAGCTAATTTTTGTATTTTTAGTAGAGATGGGGTTTCACTGTGTTGGCCAGGCTGGTCTCGATCTCCTGACCTCGTGATCTGCCCACCTCGCCCTCCTAAAGTGCTGGGATTACAGGCATGAGCCACCACACCGGCCTTATTCCACTCTTGAGTGACACTCGTGACAGCCCTTGGACCGGGGTGACATGAAAGTTCACATGCACCTTGGAAGGTGGGAGTAACTGCAAACCCCTAGACACCACTGCTTTCAAGTCCCAAAGGGAGTGCCAGACAACCACAAGATCGAATCTGCAGTAATCATGTTCTTACACAAAGCACAATTCTGCTCAAAGAAAAGTAGAGGCAGAAACACATGCTCCACAGACCCTGAGGAAAACTTGACTTCCTCTATATTCGTTAGAAATATGTAGTGGTTAAAGTCCCCAGCTGTGTGAGATCATCAGCACCACCACCATAAAACAAAACAAGGATTGGCTTTGCAGTTCCTCCCCCAGCCCCTCTAAACCCTGGTCATCTGATTTCAGCAGGTGCAGGGATCTGTTTCCTGGGCATTGAAGCACTGGATTGAATCCTCAGCCTGATTGTTCCAGGCAACTGTGCTCCATTCACGAAGCTCGCTCACGCAGGAGACTGCAACGCTCTCTCTCCCGGAACTGCTCCTGAAGCCTCTTTGGAGTTACACAAGTTTTTAAGGCAATTTAGTATGTCTGGCACTTTTGTGGCCAGGTTACACTTTTCTCCCCCAACAGCTTTCCCATCTTTTTATCAAACTCATAGCTTAATAGAGATGAAATTCACATATCATAAAGTTCATCTTTTTAATGTATACAATTCAGTGTTTTTAAAATATATAATATTAACAGAGTCATACATGTATCACCACTATCAAATTCCAGAATAATTTCTTCATCCCCCTTCAAAGAAATTTCATACCTATTAGCAATCATTTCATTTTCTCCCTACCTCTACCTTACAGCAGCCACAAATCTATTTCCTATCTCTAGGGATCTGCCTATTCTGAAATCATACAATATGTGGCCTTTTATGCCAGCCTTCCTTCACTTAGTGTGAAGTTTCCAGGGTTAATTCATGTTACAGCATGGATCAGCTCTTCATTCCTTTTTACAGTGGAGGAGTATTCCATTGTATGGTTACATCACATTTATTTATTTATTTATTTATTTATTTATTTATTTATTTATTTATTTAGAGATGGAGTCTAGCTCTGTCACCCAGGCTGGAATGCAATGGCACGATCTCAACTCACTGCAACCTCCACCATCCCACGTTCAAGTGATTCTCCTGCCTCAGCCTCCCAAGTAGCTGGGACTACAGGCATGTGTTACCACTCCTGGCTAGTTTTTTTTTATTTTTAGTAGAGATGGGGTTTCAATGTGTTAGCCAGTATGGTCTCGGCTTCCTGACCTCATGATCCACCCTCCTTGGCCTCCCAAAGTGCTGGGATTATGGGTGTGAGCCACCGCGCCCCGCCACATCACATTTATTTATCCATTCTCTGGGAAATAGATATTTGGGTTGTTTTCACTTTTTTGGCTATTATCATTAATGCTGTTATGAACCTCATGTACTAGTTTCTATATGAACATATGTTTCCAGTTTTCGTGAGTCTATACCTAGGAGTAGAATTACTAGGTAATATGGTAACTCTGTGTTTAACTTTTAGGAGAACTACTGAACTATTTTCCACAGAGGCCACACAATTTATCTTTCTACTAGTAATGTAAGAAGGTTCCCATTTCTCTATATCCTGGGAATACTTACTATTTTCCATTTTTTGTTTGTGTTTGGTTCTTATAATCATCCTAGTGGATGTGAAGTGGTATTTCATTGTGATTTGATTTTCATTCACCCTGAGGCTGAATGATGTTGAGCATCTTTTCATATGCTTTTTGGCCATTTGTCTTTCTTTGGAGAAATGTCTCTTTAAATCCTTTGCCTATTTTTAAATTGAATTATTTGTTTTTTTGTTTGTTTGTTTTGAGAAGCAAGAGTTGTTGATATATTCTAGATACTAGACCTTTACTAGATACCTGATTTGCAAATATTTTCTCCCATTCGGTGGGTTGTCTTTTCACTTTCTTGATAGTGTTTTTGATACACAAAATGTTTTAAGTTTGATGAAGTCCAATTTATCTATTTTTTATTTGATTGCTTGCACTTTTGTTGTCACATGTAAGAAACCATTGCCTAATTCAAAGTCACAAAGATTTATCCCTATGTTTTCTTCTAAAAGTTTTATAGCTTTAGCTCTTATATTTTGGGTCTTTGGTCCACATTGAGTTCATCTTTGTATATGGTACGAGTTGGGGGTCCAACTGCACTCTTTTGCAGGTGAATATCTAGTTGTACCACCACCATTTGGTGGAAAGACTATTCTTTCCTCATTGAATGGTCTTGACTCCCTTGTCAAAAAATAATTGACTATAGATGTATGGGTTTATTTTTGAACTCTCAATTCTATTCCATTGATCCATATGTCTATACCTATCCTAGTACCATATTGTTTTGATTTCTGTAGCTTTACAGTAAGTTTTAAAATCAGGAGGTATAAGTCTTTGAATTGTTTTTTGAGATTGTTTTGACTATTATGAGTCCTTTGCATTTTCATATGAATTTCAGAATCAACTTGTAGTTTCTTTAAGAAAGAAAGAGGGATTTTGATAGAGATTTGGTTGAATCTGCACATCAGTTTAGGGAGTATTGTCATGTTAATGATATGAAGTCTTTCAATCAATTCATATAAGATATACTTCCATTTACTTAGGTCTTAATTTCTTTCCATTTTGTTTTGTAGTTTTAGTACACAAGTCTTATACTTCTTTATTTTGTTAAATTTATTCTTAAGTATCTTATTCCGTTTGAAACTATTTTAAGTGGAATCATTTTCTTAATTTTATTTTGGGATTGTTCATAGCTAGTGGCTAAAAATGCAAATGATTTTTGCATTTTGGTCTGAAATCTTCCTTCCTGCTGAACTCATTTATTATTATAATAGGTTTTTTTGTGGATTCCTTAAGATTTTCTATATACAACATTATGTCTTCTATGAATAGAGACAGGTTTACTTCTTTCTTTCCTATCTGGTTGTCCTTGTTTTTGTTTTTGTTTTTCCTACCTAATAGCCCTGGCTAGACCCTCCAATATAATGTTAAATAGCCATGCTGGGAATGAACATCCTTGTCTACCATCTCCTGGTCTTAGGCGGACTGATTTCAGTCTTCTGCTCTTCAGTATGATGCTAGCTATTGGGTTTTTCACAGATACTTGTCAAGTTGAAGATGTTTCTTCCTGTTCCTAGCTTGTTGAGTCTTTTGTCAGGAAATGGTTTTTGGATTTTGTCACATGCTTATTCTGTGTCTGTTCAGATGATCATGTGCTTTTTGCCCTTTATTCTATTAATGTAGGTATAATACATTGATTGATTTTCATACAAGCCAATTTGTTTTTCCTGGAATATATCCTATTTGGTCATGGTGTATAATCTTTCTACATGTAGTTAGATTCAGTTTGCTACTATTTTGTTGAAGAGTTTTATATCTATTTTCATAAGGGGTATTGGCATGTTGTTTCCTTGTGATATCTTTATCTAGTTTGGTATCAGGGTACAGATCGTCCTTTTCTCATTTAGATTTTGGGGTAATAGTTTAAGCCTGGATTATAATTTGCCCACATTTGTTGTACCTGTGGAAAAAGGTTTTATATTATAATATCTACTTTTTTTCATCTTAAGGTCTAATGCTTGTGTATGTATTTACTGAGAATTAAAACTTTTTTGCCTGCACAAATAGGCATCTACTATGATCATGAGAACGGATAAAACAGTTACATACTGTTTTATCTATGGCCACAATGTTTTTCTATGATAACTCCTATATTATCATTATTATTTTTTAGTTGGAGTCTTGCTCTGTTGCCCAGGCTGGAGTGCAATGGCGCAATCATGGCTCACTGCAACCTCTGCCTCCCAGGTTCAAGCGATTCTCCTGTCTCAGCCTCCTGAGTAGCTGGGATTACAGGCACTTGCCACCACGCCTGGCTAATTTTTGTATTTTTAGTAGAGACGAGGTTTCACCCTGTTGGCCAGGATGGTCTCGAACTCCTGATGTCAGGCGATCTACCCGCCTCAGTCCCCCAAAGTACTGGGATTACAGGCATAAGCCACCATGTCCAGCTCTATATTATTATTTTATAGGCAAAGGCTTTCTTCTCTCCCTAATCCTACCACTCTCTGGCTACTAAATTCCTACCATTACTCCATTAAGCCCACTTTACGTACTACCTTCTCCATGAACTTTCTTTTGAAAGATTTCTCTTTCTCCTCTCAACTCCAATAGCACTTCTCTTTGGCTTACTCAATAGTGCATGTATATATCTGTATTTGTTGTAGGTTTCTTCTGTGGATTTTAGTGTCTTTTCTTTCCTGAGAGATTTATGACACTGGTTTATACTTTATGTAATATTCAGTAGTACCTATTTAGCACCTTCTCCTTAGTTCACACTCAACATATGTTGTTTTAATAATTTTCTTAATTCACCCTTGATATAATGTCCAGGAATTCTATGAAATATATAAAATCATTATATTTATGCCACTGTCTTTAAGTTGATCAAGCATGAATAAGTGATTGTATAAGTAATTTTAATATATGCCAAGCATTTCCACGTAGTAAACAACTTTGTGAACAAATCCAAAACATATAAAATGAATTTTTAAAATTGAAACCATATTATATCATATGGCATAGTGAGAATTAGAACTTGGGAAAAATAAATTATGTAATAGGTAGTTACTTAGAAAAAAATTGCAAGGTAAAATTATGCTCTTTCTCTCTGACAGCGACTTGCTTTTCCAAGAATGAATACAGTACCTGGTGTCAGAAGTATGACCGAGGTGACGATCAAGGAGCAGATGACCAGAATGACAAGCAGTGCAATTGCTATTCCTTTCCAATTCCTCTGCGGAGGGTTACTCCCCACCAGCTCCTAAAAACAGCAACAACAAAGAAAACCCCAGTGAGTGAAATAAGGAAATAAAATAAGCCAAATAGACATATTTCATTTAAATCAAGAACCAAGATACAAAACAGTGAAAGAGGCATCTTCCCATTCTTGAAGCTACTATTAGTTCCCTTTTGTACCCTTCTGCACCCTTCTGCCTTCAGTGGCCCAAAGCCTTCGGCTGTCATTTTCCTGTACTATGGCCAAATGTTACCTCAAGAAAGAATCTGATATTATTATGTTTGCAGCTTTTGTGCAAACCTAATGCTCCTCCTCCCAATAAACCAGACTCTGCAGTATAGGGTCATCTTGGAGCTTTCCTTCTTCACAGCTAAATTCCTTACCCTCATTGAATCCAACCCAACTAGGATTAAACTTTTCAGCTCCAAGTCCTCTGTCATCATTCCCTTTTTTTTTTTTTACATCCATGTGATCAACTTCTATTTCAGGGTACCAAATTTAAATATTTATTTAGCACATGCTATGTGCCAATTTTCACCAACTTCTGCCCATCGCACTGCCTTCAGGCTTTTCTTTTTTCCATAGCTCCTCATTCAAGGTTTCAAGATTTTCCTGGTCTCTCTTCACTGGGCAACTCACCTATCCTTATTCTAGGTTTCAGTCCCTTCCAGAGAACCCTCTTGCACTGCAGCAAGAGTGGCAGGTGAGAGAGGGACTCTGGAGACACTGCTAAAGGGTGCTAAAGACTACATAAGTCTAGGAAATTCATCACGCGTACTGGCTGCTGAGACCAAGTTTTCAGTTCCGTGCAAATTAGAGGAATCATATAACTTTTAGTCGAAACTGTGATTCTTTGAGAGACAAAAAGGATCATATGAATGCTTGATAATAAGTAATAAATATAATAGTTACACATGGATTATTATTAATTATACAGGAACAAATAAGGACAGATGGTCACACTGCAAAGGGACCACTTCTGTCCATGTATAGTCTGGAGAATACACTCTTATAGTGCACATAACTGCAACTTAGTAACCAAGCCAAAATGAGGTAGAATGAAGACGGCCTTAAAAAGTAGACAATGCAATACATAAATATATTTTCATCAAAGATTAAAAGTTCTTTAGAATGTGTCAAATTGCTACAAACTAAAATAGACAATATGCAATATCATCCAAAATATTTAATATTGGCTATATTTGTTATTAAATTAAGAAAAATTCATGGGGCCATTATAGGCTTAGTAGGAAAGAGTTCTACAGTGGTTTAGAATTTCTACAAGTCTTCATATTTGCCATCTATAACTTAATTCATCTACAGAGAGTAGCTTTTTAGAACTTAAAAAGTAAGACTATCCGTGAGCAACAAAACAGCTACAGAAAGTTACACTGATTCAATCTCATTTCCTATTAGGTAGTATTTTCTTTGGGAGAAAATCACTGGCCAGGGCCAAGGATAAGTAATTAGATCTTGCTAATTCAGCAGCTTTTCATTTCACCTGAATTCAGAAAGAAAATAAGCCCTTTTCATCAAGTCTGTGACTAGCAGGAATCTTTCAGTGGTACTATTCATACAAGCAACCTAGTGCACGCAATTTCTCACAGCCCAGTTGACATTCCTCAAACGCTGTTAAGATGAAATTCCAAGGAAACCATTAAAAACAGAACATCAAGACCAAATCTTATTCATGAACCAGAATGATAAAATTAATGTTATCTTCATTAGCTCAAATAATTGATATCTTTTGAGTATTGTTTCTATTTCATTTTTAATTATTTTTATTTTTTTCCAGCCCAGGCTGGAGTACAGTGGTGCGATCTCGGCTCACTGCAAGCTCTGCCTCCCAGGTTCACGCCATTCTCCTGCCTCAGCCTCCAGAGTAGCTGGGACCACAGGCGCCCACAATCACACCTGGCTAATTTTTTTTTTTTTTGTCTATTTAGTAGAGACAGGGTTTCACCATGTTAGCCAGAATGGTCTTAATCTCCTGACCTTGCGATCCGCCCGCCTCGGCCTCCCAAAGTGCTGGGATTACAGGCGTGAGCCACCGCGCCTGGCCAAGCCTTTTTCATATTGTTTTCTATTTCTGGTCTATATGCACATTTAATTTTTAAATGGGTACAACCACAGCATAGATGCAGTTTTCAAGTTAGAATGCAAGCTAATATGTGCTTCTTTGAACATCTAATTTGGCTCCCCACATTCAGACTTCCTCCTAACTTGCAGGAGTTGAACTGTTGAAAATTCGAGTAGGATTGATTCTGCTTTCCATGAAAGTCAAGAGAAGTCACTAGGTTGTCCCCCGGCACACTGAGTGTCAGTAGTGCATTTCTCAGTAGAATGAGACATTTTTTGCCTAGCATGGTGAAAGTGAGGCTATAACATATTCCCTATTCCGTTACCACATGCATACTTTGGAGATCCATTAAAATGGAAAAGCATGTTCACAATTAACCATTTGCTCTAAGAAGAATAAGTTTTCTACCCAGTGATCCACATCCATCCATCCATCCACATTCGTCGACGTATCCATCCATCCATTCACCCATCCATCCACTCATCCATCCATCCATCTATTCATCCACATCCATCCATCCATCCACATTCATCGACATATCCATCCATCCATTCACCCATCCATCCACTCATCCATCCATCCATCTATTCATCCACATCCGTCCATCCATTCACTCATCCATCCATCCATCCATCCATCCATCCATCCATGTATCTGTCAATCCACATCCATCCATCCAACACATGTTTATCTAGGGCTTACTATGCCAGGTTAGGTTTTGAGAACCTTGAATACAAGAATGAATAAAACAGATACTGACACTGTTATCAACAGAAGTTGAATGGCTTTCATTTTTTTTTTCATTTTTTTTCTTGTAATCTAGTGCAGGAATGGGGGAAGGGACAAACAATAAGCAGATCAGCTCACTAAGAGAAGAGAAAAGCAGGACAATGGAGCTCTGGGAGCTGTTTGCATCAGAGAGATCTCTAGCAAAGTGACATCTGAATAGAACTGAAGGAATCTGCAGAGCTGACATCCGAGAAGACAATCCAGACAGAGGGAGTGGCAGGTGCCTGGCCTGTGAGACAGCATAGGCTTCAGTGGAGACAGCAAGGAGGCAGTGGCCAGAGTGGGAGAGCAAGGTGACTGTTCTGAGGAGTGGGGGCAGTAAGGGGCCAGGGAGTGCAGAGCCTGAGGGCCAGGTGCAGGCTTCGGCTTACCTCTGAGTGAAAGGGGTGTGAGCACAGCAGTGTGTAAATAAGGCTCCCACTAAGGAAGGTGGCCAGGGGAGCTGCTTAGAGGAAACACTTGCAGAAACCAGGGTGGGAACAGGAGCGGCCAACAAGGCACAGGGGTAATGGAGGTCTGTCCTGGGTGGCAGTGGTGGGTATGCTGGGAAGTAGCTGAATTCTGGGCATACAATAGAAAGATATTAGCCAACAGTGTTATTCTGAGAAGGTCATACAGACCTAGGTGTCGGGATATATTTATGTATCCCTTTTGCATGTAAAGCCCTCTCTGGGGCTCTAGCCTTCTGTTTTCAAGAAAAAAACACCCTTTGCCCCTGTGACATGGCAAGTCTGTCCTCTTTCTACCTCTAGGCCAAATCTAAGTTCTACCCTACTCCGCTCATACCCTATTGTTCCTGGAGCAAGTCATTCCCTTCCATGTCCCCTTTCCTCAACACGCCCTACAACTTTTCTGTTTCCTGGAATTTCCCTTCATCTTCATTTTGCCAGGCAAATCCCTTTGCATTCTTTACTTATCAGCTAAAATATCACCTCTGACATCGTAGGAAGTCTTGCCTGGTTTCACCGGCATTATTCTTTCCCCCTGGACACAATCACAACACTCTGTGAGTGCCTTTCTGTAACACTGTTCCACTATTAATTTATCTCTTTAATATATATTATCTTAGTATGAGTATTAATATATTATCATAATGCATGTGTCATTACCAGGGGGGCAAACTACTTAAGGACACAGTTACCTTACTGTGTTCAACGTCTCAATGTCTCGTACAAAACTTGGGACAACATAGTGCACAGAGACTGTGTTGAGTGGATGAATGGATGGATAAATGCCTTTAGAAGTAACAGAAAGGCAATCATTGATGGATGCAGAAAGCAAAGGGTTAATGCAAGCCCAGTTGCGTGAATGAGGCCATAAGCAGCAATGGATTCTGCAAGATGTAATGCAAACTGACACGCATAGTTGGCAATCCTGTCCTTTGCGACATCACTGCTGCTCATACTTATTTTTAACTCAGGCAAAAATAAAACAAACAACGAACTAAAACCAAGCTATACCTTTTCTGAGTCGTTTGGTCATTTTAAACATAAAATTCACCTTTATCCAATGTTATTATCTTAGTAACTTGTGATTACAGCTTGACTTTTGTGTGTGCCAATTTTGTATCTCGAGTGCAAGAAACCCAGATTAAGATAATAATTGTAGACACCACAATGTCTATGAACTGATTCAAGGAGGACCCTAATGCAGGCCGCTTTAATTTTCTCCCCAGCTACAGCTGATAGAGCCCACGCCTCTCTGTCAGGTTATGCATCCCTGTTCTCTCCTCTCTGTTAAAATCTGACACGTCTCATCTTGGCCTGAGCTTCGTATCTCTCATGGATTTGCCTTGCTTGCTACCTTTATCAGACTTTGTGCCTTATGAAGAGGAGAAGATTCAAATGAGAACTCTAAGTTGGAGACGATTTTTGAACGCTGCAAGGAGGAAAGGAGTGGGACACAAAAGGAACTGATTGCATAGGTGTTATCAGGATTAAATGTAAATGTATTTGAAAGCACACTATAATTTATAAAAATTATAGAAACACAAGATACTAATTTACTATTTATTGCTATCACCACCAAGTAATGTTTTAGCAACATATGATATGTAATAGAGAAAGAACTCGAAAGTGCATTGCATTTCCTACTCTTTATAAAGAAAGGGAAGGGGCTAGAGTGGTCACATTCCACTTGTGATCCTCCAACTTCTTGTTGCATCCTGAGCTTTAATGAGGGGAAATCAGAAATTTAATTTGTTTTGGGTCCTCAAAGCAGAGTGATCCAGGTTATTGGATCCATAATTGTGACTCCACAGTAAAGTGATGCATACCTCAAGCAGCCAATAACCACTGTGAATGTTCCGGGTACACATCCCATGACGTGTTTGTTTCATGTAATGTAAGTCTGGCCTTACGCAGCTAAAGGGACAGAAGGAGTCACCTCCAGCAGAAGTGAGATTGGAGGATGATTTCACGATCAACCAAAGCCTCCTCCTAAAGACACACCCCTGCAGGAGAAGACTGGAGCAATCGGGGGCAGCACAGCAGGGACCCCGGGGACAGCTGAGGTCCAGCCTTGCCAGCCACATTGGGGACAGCTGGCAATTGTGCATTCTATGTCCCTTAGCTAAAGGCAGAGGGGTCAACCAGATGGCCTTCTCACTAGGGAAGGAGGAAGTGAAGTAAATTATTTCTCTCATAACAATCTATCTTTAAACCAATCAATCTCTTCTTCTATCAGGCAGCCTGCAGAAGTATATTAAGACTAGAAGACAATGTCTCGCTCCCAAAATGGAAAGTGGCCTTTTCTACGATATAACTATACCCATGGTTAGGTAATTGATAGCTTTAAATAATTCCAGAGGATACATATAAATCAGCAGCTACTTGGGATTCACAATGCTGGCTGGAGGTGGAAACGCAAGCCAGTCTTGTTGGAGCAAGAGGACCCTAACTCATCGTCCAATAAAGCATTGCATGTACTTAGCAGGGGAAGCTTTCCCACTCCCCGAGATGCTCCTTTCCTTGTGACTGTCACTTTGTTTCTTGTGAGTACTTCCGGGGTGCTTTTGCTAGTAGTGGGGGTGAGGGAGGGATAATGGATATGGCCGCAAGGTATGAATTAATGCCGCCTCCATGTGAATAACTGCAGAGACTGCAGGCGTGGGCAGCTGAGCAGCCCTTTCAGAAAGACTGAAGCAACCAATGCGGGAATGGGATGTGGTGGTGGTGGAAGACGATGTCATCCCACCTTCCCCAACACCTCCGTTTATTTCATTAATTAGAAGTTAATTTTGGTTAACCTGCCCAACTTTCGAGGACTGGCAATTAATTATACATCATCATCATCATCTTAGTGGAAGCAGAGGAGCCAATGTTTCCGGTACATCCAGACACAAACCTGCGGGTGCCCCTCTTCCCCTGGGCAGTGTCCACCACGTCCTCCATGTGGAGAAGGGACGTCTCACTGCTCAGGCTCTCCCAGGGCTCTCCCACACCCTTTCCGTATGCGCCTCATGGACTCACCTGGGATCCACCCTACTTTTCTCAAATACATTTGGGAACTTCTGAAGTTGCCTATTTTACATAACATGACTTGATGTTGCTGCCTGAGGGCACAGCAGTTTGAAATCCTACCCACCACCCTTGCTAAAGCAGCTGTCAGCCCTCTACTTGAAGGTCAGCAAAACTGTGTTTTCAGAATTAACTTCTGCCCTATCAATCCTTCTAGAAAACAAACAGGCAAATTATTGATGCAATAGCTATCTGTTAACATTTCTTCTTGATTATTTTTACCTGCAAATTCCAACATCAGGTTCAAATTATTTTAGGCTCTTCAGTTTAATTGACTGGGTCTGATAGATTCTTTTATGAAATTAGTTCAAAATGTAAGTTAGTCTTGCTTTCTGGGCTCAGTCTACTTTGGTTCTATTTTGATATAATGTTTTAAAGGTATCAAGTTGTTCTATATATTTCCAAAAGCAGCAGCACTGTGACCTGATCATCCACAGAAAAAAATGTCACAACACATCAGGCCCAAGAGAAATCCCTTTCAGTGAAAAGATGGCTATGAAGTAAGCTGCAGAATTTAAAATTGAGCATTTGTATCTTTCACCTTGCTGTGTATGATAACAGCGTCTTAAAGCATGTTTAGATAATGGCTGTTTTTGCATAGACTCTCTGAAACCCACAGGCGATTTTGAGATGAGTTTTCTATACTGGGTAGATTTTTGGCACGCTCAACACATCACTTCTCAATGTCAAAAATCCCTGCAGGCACTCAATAAATATTAAGTAACTAACAAACTAGCCTCAAAGGCAAGAACCACCAGCAATTGAATGGCAGAGACTAAAGTAATTGGAGCTCACTTTTTAAAAAGGGCTTGCCACCCTGGTACAATGTTCCAGCACGGTACAGAGGCATTGTGAAGAGCATCCCAGTCAGAATGATCGGAGCTGCCCTCCTCCTCCACCCATGGGCCCTGGAAGCCACATTTCTAGTCTGTGAGCCCCCTCCTCTCCTCCTCAGCCAGAGACAATTAATTGGCCTAACCTAGGTCAAAAGTCTGCTCCAGGATTTGTGGTGTGAGATTAAAATATTCCAAGTCGTTCTTGGCTGCTGTCACAAACCATGAGAACGGAAGGTGGGGAGGGAAGTTAAGTGCCTGCTGCCATATGGTGTAAAGATTCCAAAGGAAATAAAGCAGATTTACAGAATGAGAGGAATGAAGTAGAGAGGTTCAGAACCAAAGAGAATGAAAAGCAAAGAGACAAAGGCAAAAAGGTAAGAAGCTCAAAGAGACAGAATGAGCTCCTCTTGGCTTTCCATTTTTGATGTACTTTTCCTCCTGAGGCCTGGATGCATTTTTCCCTTGGATTTAATAATGCACTCCTGTTACTTTAGGAGATATTTCTTTTTTTCTTTTCTTTTTTTTTTTTTTTTTTTTTTTTTTTTGAGTTGGAGTCTCACTCTGTCACCCAGGCTGGAGTGCAGTGGTGCTATCTCGACTCACTGCAAGCTCCGCCTCCTGGGTTCACGCCGTTCTCCTGACTCAGCCTCCTGAGTAGCTGGGACTACAGGCTCCCGCCACCACGCCCGGCTAATTTTTTTGTATTTTTTTAGTCGAGACGGGGTTTCACCGTGTCAGCCAGGATGGTCTCGATCTCCTGACCTTGTGATCCACCCTCCTTGGCCTCCCAAAGTTCTGGGATTACAGGCATTTGCCACAGTGCCCAGCCTTTAGGAGATATTTCATTTTCCATTTTACTTAAACTAATTTGAGTGGGTTTCTGAAACTCAAAAACAAAAGCCGAATGTACAGCAAGCATTGATGCTTCATCCAGCGCCTGCTCCCTGGTTCCTGAGGGGTATGCTCCTGTGTCTGCGGCATATTCTAGCTACACTTACACTCGAAGACTAGGTGGAAATTCCAACAACACTCTTGGTTTACAATTTAATTTAGTTTTATTTTATTTTTATGTTATTTTTTCAGATGGAGTCTCACTGTCATCCAGGCTGGAGTGCAGTGGCGTGATCTTGGCTCACTACAATCTCTGCCTCCTGGGTTCAAACATTTCTCCCTGCCTCAGCCTCCCAAGTAACACGGATTACAGGCGTCCACCACCGTGTCCAGCTAATTTTTGTATTTTTAGCAGAGACTGGGTTTCGCCATGTTGGCCAGGCTGATCTTGAACTCCTGGACTCAAGGGATCCGCCCACCTCAGCCTCTCAAAGTGCTGGAATTACAGGCATGAACCACCACACCTGGCCTTTGGTTTACAATTTTAAAATAACTAATTTGCTAATTTGATGTATACATTTTCTTTGAAAAGGCTGGTGATTCTACTAGCAGGTAGAGTTATTTTCCCAGGGAAACTGAGTGGAATTTTGCAATTACCTTAACAGATTTTCAAGAATCAAATTTGTCATCATCCACCAGCCTTGTAGTATGGGCCCCTCTGTGACAGGAGGAAGCTAATTTAAGGGGAAGCAAATGCCAGCCAAGACAGTTGGCACGGCAGAATGTTCACGGGTCTCAAAGAGGATGGGCTCTTCCTGAGGTCTTCACTATTTTAGGTATCAAATTACTCAAAAAGAAAGCTGTAGTATTTTTAAACTATAGCTGGCCTAGAATGGAATCTATTCATTAGATCCATGTTAAACAGCTATTAGCCTAGTATCAGAATTTTCACATAATCCAGTATAATGGAAAAACAAATAGCATCAGAGAAATGATTGGCTGCAGAGAGGCAATTGATGAGTAATCTTACTATCTTTATTCACCTGTAACCTTAGTCTCCTTTGTCAGGGAAGCTAACATAGTCACAGGTACCAGGGAATGGGATACGGACATCTTCATGGGGTGTCATTGGTCTGTCTACCAGAGTGGTGTATTCCATGTAACAGAATGCCATATAGCCATGCAAATCACAACCTCTGACTACATGCACAGCATGAATGAACCTCACAAATATAATTTTAAGTGACATAGATCAGACAGTAAAGAATATAAGATGAATATTTCTTTTTGTAAAAAGTTCCACAGTGGGCAAACTACACTAAGTGAGTGGTTCACACGTAAGTTCATGAAGACAAGCCAGAAAGACATTTCCATGAAATCCAGGATGCTGCATAACTCAACGGGGAGAGAGAAGTTGCCACTGGAAAGAGGAAGTCAAGGTACAGGAGCTGCGGGGTACTGGCTGTCCTCTGTTTCTAGACCTGAATGGGCTATTTCACATTAGGAAATTCAGGTTACACTCACCCATTAAGCTGTGAGTTTACATGTTCCATAGTTTTTGCATTATAATATTTCACAATAGCAATGGTTAACCACGTGTACTGGATACCAATGTTGTGACAGTGAGCATTGGCCTAACGTGCTGAACTGAAGAGACATCCCTACACTTGCACGCGGTGGGAGAGACCTCAGGCAAACCCAGTGACACTGTGAGGTGGGGCAGTGGGCAGGAATTCCATGTGTCAAGAGGGCGTATAATGATGGGGCATGTGCTGATTTTTACTGAGGTGTTGGGGCAAGCAAGGGTGCTCTGAGGAAGAGAATTTGAGCTGAGAGTTGAAGAGTATACAGGAAGGAGGTGGTGACCAGCTGGGGCAGGTTTCCCATGCAATGGAGCGGTTGTAACCTGGTGCATGTGTGGCTACATGTCAGGAGTGAGGCGTGAAGCATCCGAGATGAAGCTGGACAGACAGGCACAAAGAAAACCAGGCCCAGCCTCGTGGACCGTGCCACTGGTCTTGCCTTTTATCCAAAACACAATAGGAAGCCAGGGGAGGATTCTGTAAGCCACCTCAAATAAGTTCCAGAAGAAGTCAGATATTAATTATTCAGTTCATCTACTGACATCAGAAAAGTGCCTAGAGAAAGGTCAGGATTGGTTCCTTCTCCCACTGTGCCTTAAAATATGTCAAATATCAGGCCAATGTGGAATTGAGCACCGTAAAAAGTAAGATATTCACACAGCTACTATAAAAAATATTGGGAGAAAATAAACGACACATACATGACTGCAGGATCTCCCATTACACTGCTTCCTTCTATTGTCTAAATGTATTTTCTTCCTAATATTTATTCACTGTGAAAAGCTCTGACATAAATTTCTTTTATGTATCATGGACCATTTACTATAAGTAGAAGGTAGCAACAAATTACAAAATCAATGGTGCACATATCTCAGGATGGTAAAACAGCCTTCTAATCATTGTATTTCCATATTCAGGAGGACAGCAAATGATGATAGGATGGCAAGAACAAGTTTTAAATAACATTTAGCAGCTGACACGTGTCCGTCAATAATCATCCAGGAGCCTGGGGGGTGCACATCCCCGTCTCTGTTTCACTGGCTCATTTACTCAGTCTTCATTATTGGTGGCTCTTCTCTTTCCACAAAGGTGATAAAAGCCAACACAGATCATAATTAACACAAGGACTTAGGGGTAGATGGAGGAAAATGCAGGACTCTGCATGGTTCCAACCTCACAGAAGATGGCAAAGAGGATCCGATGAGGTCATCTCCACTAGTGAAACTGGTGGGAAAGCGTTGGCCCAGTGCAGCGTGTGGCAGCAACTCACAGGAACGTGCAATGAATTTGGTGTGATCTCTCAGTACCCCCTCCCATTCCTCCCTCTTTCTTTCTCTCTCGTCCTCCTTCTCCTTGTTCTCTCTCTGTCTCTCTGTCCCTGTTGCTCTTTCAATGTCCCTCTGCCACTCTCTCTCACACAAACATAATTAATGCCTAGTAATCCACAATTTAAATGAAATTCTCAGCCAGGAATGGTGGCTCATGCCTGTAATTCCAGCACTTTGGGAGGCTGAGACAGGTGGATCACCTGAGGTCAGGAGTTCAACACCAGCCTGGCCAACATGGTGAAACACTATCTCTACTAAAAATACAAAAAGTAATGGGGCATAAGGGCGTGTGCCTGTAATCCCAGCTACTTGGGAGGCTGAGGCAGGAGAATTGCTTGAGAACCTGGGAGGCAGAGGTTGCAGTGAGCCGAGATTGCACCACTGCACTTTAGCCTGGGTGACCAGAGCGAGACTCCATCTCAAAAAATAAAAATAAAAATAGAATAAAATAAATTCTCTCTGCTTGGGAACAGCCATGAACATAAAAGCAACAACAACAAACAAGAAATGTCTGAGTATGAGCAGGCCCTGATCAAAAACGTGGAAGAGACTCAACTGTCTAGAGAGTCATTAATTCAGTCATTTCTGTGATGGGTTATTTTGCTGATCAGAAGATAAGAGCACTTTGATTGGAAAATGCTGATGATCCCAGTTGCACTCCCACAGCTCAGGTGAGCAGCTCAGAAACAAAGGTGGGAGAAGAGAAGGAATATGAAGACAAGAATTTACCATGATGGACTGGGAGAAAAATGGAAGAGCACGTCAGATGCAGGAGAGTGGGAAGCAGATCCCAACCCCAAAGCCAGCAGCAAGCAGAGAGGGAAGGGTGAAGCGGCGGCTGAAGAGTCCAGCAGTCTGGACCTTCAGGGTGAAAGCCAGCAGCCACATGCTTCTAAAGGCCCTGCAGGCACGATATCTGTGTGGAAACTATAACTCTGCAGTGTCACAAAAGGAGAAAATACGGGCTTAGGGTGGCTTTTTGTTTGTTTTACAGCAGCATGGTACATTTCCAAATAATTTCTACCTGAAACTATAGAAACATAGTCTGCACTTTAAGTAGCGAAACTTGGGTTTTCATGAAGTCGCACATACCAGGAACAAGAGGGCTAAGTTTCTATCTTAAACAAAATTCAGACTGTTAATGTTTTATTTTAATTGTATCAGTCCAGGTTAAACATTATTTTATGACCCAATGTCTTTAAATTGTTACAGGTTTAAAAAGCCTGAAGACGCCTTTATTGTTCTTATAGGTAAAATGGATTTTAAAGAAATAACCACAGTTTAAGATAGACTGAGACCTGAGGCATGTGTTTTAGTCACAACATGTACAACATGAAAGGAAAGACAGAAATCTTTGTTTTACTTCAGACATTGTGTAACAGAGGAAAAGAACGTGTAGGCCTAAAGGAAAGCAAACAGTGATGATTTTGTTGGAAAGTTGGACCTGTAAGGAAACGCGAAGGTAATCAGTGTACTTATCTGGAGAAAAGTGGGCCAGGCCAGAGCTTAATTACTGCCTCCAGATATAATGCATTTGTATAATCCAAAGGATTTTGGACAAAAGAAATAATAATTATCTAGTTCCTAGGACAGAAGGAGAAGACTAATTGACATTATGAGGAGTGTTTGAAATAGCTTCATGTATTTCTCAAAATGATGGTACAAAAATAGCCTTAGAACCCCCGGGTGTGCACGTCAAATGCAGATTCCTGGACCCTCTGAACTGGAGTCTCTGGGGACAGGGTGGGAGAACGTTTGTGTTTCACAATGTGCCCAGTACACGCTTATAAACAATGAAGTATGAGGCCGGGCGAGGGGGCTCATGCCTGTAATCACAGCACTTCGGGAGGCTGAGGCGGCCGGATCACCTGAGGTCAGGAGTTCAAGACCAGCCTGGCCAATAGGTTGAAACCCCATCTCTACTAAAAAAACAAAAACAAAAAAAATGCAAAAATTAGTCAGGCACGGTGGCATGCACCTGTAGTCCCTGTCTCAGCTACTTGGGAGGCTGAGACAGGAGAATTGCTTGAACCTGGGAGGCAGAGGTTGCAGTGGGCTGAGATTGTGCCACTGCACTCCAGCCTGGGCAACAGAGTGAGACTCTGTCTCAAAAAAAAAAAAAAAAAAAAAAAAAAACTTGCAGTCTAGTATGAGAGCCATTACCTACAGGAACTTGTTATATCTGTAACCTGGATAAGTCAGTTTGGTAAAGCCCCTTGCAACTGGTTTAAGAATGGAAGGCTCAAGAGTTTGTGATGGCAATTTTCCAAATGCAAAATTCTGTCCATTAGCACATCATAGACCAGTTTAGAAACATGCCCATTTAGAAACAAGATTCTGATTGGCTGTCTTACAGCCCTTGACTGGACTTATTTAACTACCATATGAGTACACATTATATGAGGGCAGCTTTTCCTAAGTACAATTTTTCTTTTACCAAGTCAAAAGCAACATGGGTGACCAGTGACATCATTATCGAACAGAACTCATGACCTGTGATGCCCACTTCCGTGTCTTGAATGTTTCAAAAAAACTCAAAATTTGAAACCCACGCTCAGCATGCATAAGCTTTGTGGCTAGCACCATAATGAATAAATAAACTGGTAAAAACAATAATGACAATAACCAAACCCAATGCATTATAAAATCCAGTGCAGGTGTTGAAAGCCTGTTCATCTACGTGTGACAGAACACACGGACAAGAGCAGTTTCGGTCCCGATGGAGAAGGGGGTGTGTGTTTCCCCCCGAAAACCCCTAGATCATTGTTAAGAGAAAAGAATCTCTCTATTAAAAGGCTATCTCATTGTCCCACACTGGCCTCTTTTTGTCCAAAATGTTCAGACATGTATCAAGCAACAGATCTCAGGGTACTTAGGGCCATAAATATTTGTACTGATTAATTGTGACTATTATTATTAAATAAGTGACAGCAACATACACATTCCATACCAGAATGCGTGAAAACCATGTTCTTGTAACATAGCAGCATGATATAAGCAATTTTCAAGAGAATCTTCAAATAACATGTATTAGAAAACAGCCAGGCAACTTAGTACATGGAATTCATTAGAGCCTAAATACTTAAAACTAGCTTTACTTAATATTATGGCAGATTAACTGAGGAAAAGCTAAACTACTTGTACTGTGATTTTTGCTCTTCATTTCTTTGAATTATTTTGGACCCGGAAACTGCTTTACTCAGAGCACCTCCTTACCGTTACCCCCATTTTTTCTTCCAAGGGAAGTGGAGGGTGGAGAGGCCAAGGAGCTGGGCCAGGCTGAGATCAGGGCACAGGAACAGATGCACCCAGCCTGAAACCACAGAGCCCAGGGCTACCAGGAGCTGAGCGCTGTCCTGGATCACTGGGCAGATACCAGGAGAAAAGGAAGGTCCTGAATACCAATTCCAAGGAAGTCGGGTAAGAAAGGGAGAAGGAAAGGCTGGGTGCGGTGGCTCTCGCCTGTAATCCCAGCACTTTGGGAGGCTGAGGTGGGCGGATCACGAGGTCAGGAGTTTGAGACCAGCCTGACCAACATGGAGAAACCCTGTCTCTACTAAAAATACAAAAATTAGCCAGGCGTGGTGGCATGCACCTGTCATCCCAGCTACTCGGGAAGCTGAGGCAGGAAAATTGCTTGAGCTTGGGAGGTAGAGGTTGTGGTGAACTGAGATCATGCCACTGTACTCCAGCCTGGGCAACAAGAGCAAGATTCCATCTCAAAAAAAAAAAAAAAAAGAAAGAAAGAAAGAAATAATAAAAGAAAGAAAAGAAAAGAAAAGAAAAGAAAAGAAAAGAAAAGAAAAGAAAAGAAAAGAAAAGAAAAGAAAGGAAAGAAAAACAGAGCCTGACATGAGGTTTTGACGACAGCGGCTATCTGAGCCTTTGGAGCTGGGGGCCTGGAGTGTTCTTCCACTGTCCGCCTGCCTTTTGTGGGTGGTGTGGAGCAGGCCCTGGGGAGTGGCGCAGGGAAGCAGGGTGGGTCTAGGCTTGCTGGAGCAGCCCTGAGCTGGTGCTGCTCAGTGATGATGTAACTGCATCTTGAAAGACGGCCTTGGCGCTTCCCCCTGGTGGCCTGTGGCTCCCAGCGAGCATCCTTGGCAGCTGTTCTCAGGGCACCACGGTGTTCTGAACACAGGCCTTTGCGTTCCTCCTTCCTCTGAGGACTTCACCAACACTTCCCTTGAGGTGCACTGTCTCTCATCTGAACACAACCAGTGTTGCTCATGTCTTCTCTCTGGGTGCCAATCAAAGTAAGCGCCGTGAGCACAGGACATCATCAGGATCCACCTCTCTAGCACCGTGGAGCCTAGTGACATTTTCACACGTTGAACTTGCAATATTGGTTTCCTGAATGGAAGACTTAACTTAACGAAAGAAACATTCGAATGAGTCAGACATCCCTGGGTTTGCCTCCACCATGTGCCAGCTGAGCTTCCATCCATTAAACTCCTGGAAGCTCATATGTCAGCTGGGAATAACACAGCCCTTGCAGCACTGAAGTGAGGATTAAAGACAACATAAAGAGCCTCTAGCAGAGCGTCAAGCACAGAGTGGGCAGTCAACACACGGTGGCTATCAGCAGCCATGACCTATGCAAACACCACCAAAGGGCACCTGTGTTGCACGGCTGGGGAAGTGCTATGGGCTGAATGTTTGTGTCTCCCCAGATTCATACAATGAAATCCTAACTCCCCAATGTGACAGCACTAGGAGGGGGGCCTTCAGGAGGTAATTAGGTCATGAGGGTGAATGGGCTTAGTGCCCTTCTAAGGAGACTCAAGAGCCTGCTCTGTGCTCTCTGCCATGTGAGGATACAAGAAAATAGCCATCTACAAACCAGACCTGACCACGCCAGCACACTGACTTCAGATTCCCCAGCCTCCAGAATCATAAGGAATACATTGCTGCTGCTTAAGCTGTGCAGTCTGTGGTATTCTGCTACAACAGCCTGAATTGACTGATGCAAGAAGTTAAAGTAAACATACAAAGGGTATCTCTATAGCAGCAAGGCTCCCCAGTTGACTTGCATCATTAAACTAACCCCGTGCCTTAGTGCTGTCTACTCACAGGGAAACGAAAGCCTTGGTCCAGAGATGAGAGGCAGCAGCGTGTTTAAGCATCTAAGGCCGTCGAGGAGCCTGGGGAATGGAGGCGAGCGCAACAGTGCCAAACCCTGAGATTCTGACAGCGGCCCCTAGAAGAGGAGCTTCTCACCTTCAAAGGCTGAGAACTGGGAGGGTGGATGGAAACTTGCCGTCTGACTCTTTGAGGGTGGGAGGCAGGCTTTAGAATATCAGGAAGGATGGCCTGTATTCCAGAAACCAGACAGCACCAGGCCAGGAACGCTCTGTGCTGGTGGTGACCATAATAAATGCCAGGACTGGAATATAATACCCAGCTCCATCTGAAATGTCTGTGACGAGCGCGACCTGCATTGCTGATGTGACATAAGACACGTGGTACTGCTGTGTTTCACCGGCCTCGCTGCACCTCATTCAAGCCCTGCCTAACCCCGGTACTCCAGGGAGGAACGTGGTCTCCACATTAGCCTTGGGTCCTCCTTGACTTGGGTAGCCATTCCGAGGCGGGCACCTGTTTCTCCATATTCAACCATGACAGTGACACATCTTCCTGATAACACTCAAATAAACAGCGTTTGTGTTGTCACACAGCTGTAAGCCTGCCCAGATTGCCTCCCGAGTTCACGAAGCCTCTTGAGTGTGTTACCCAAGAGGGTTATTTTATGTGGCTGTTAAAAGCGATGCTCTGTCGTAGTGAACCACAATGCTGAGAGACCCAACTCCAACAATCAAGAAAGAGAGGCACTAGAGGCACTGTGCTTTCCAATACATGAGAAGTTTTCTTCCCTTGAAAGGTGAATGGAAAGGCTGGGACTTGGCAGACGTGGGTTGGGTTGTAGGTCTGGCTGCCCACCCATCTGTGAAGCTAGGTGGTCAGAGGAGCGTCAGCAAATTCGTTAGGCCTTGCTGTGCTCGCACGTGGATTCCACTGACCAGCTGGATGGATTTCCCAGAACTCATTCATTTGATCAAAACAAGGATAAGACAAATTATGCTTTTTTTTTTTTTAACAGATTAAGAAGCAGAAGCTCAGAGAGGTTAAGAGACTTGCCCAAGGTCACACAGATGTAAAGTAGCAGAATCAGACCTGAGGCCAGGCCTTTAGATTCTAAATCAGTGGTGCTTTGACTATAAAACCTAAGGAAGTAGGCTATATATTCTCTTTATTTTGTTTTATGTTTTATTTTATTTTAATAGCTTTTGAGGTACAAGTGGTTTTTGGTTACGTGGATGAAGCGTACAGTGCTGAAGTCTGAGCGTTTAGTGCACCCATCATCTTAACACTGTACGTTGTACCCAATATGTGTCTTTTTATCCCTCATACCCCTTCCGCTCTCCCCACTTGCGAGTCTCCAAATCTATTATACCACTCTGTATGCCTTGCATACCCATAGCTTAGCTGCCACTTGTAAGTGAGAACATAACAATATTAGGTTTTCCATTCCTGAGTTATATCACTTAGGACAATGGCCTCCAGCTCCATCCAAGTTGCTGCAAAAGACATTATTTCGTTATTTTTATGGCTGAGTAGTATTCCATGGTGCATATATACCACATCTTCCTTATCCACTCATTGGTTGATGGACACTTAGGTCGATTCCATATCTTTGCAGTTGTGAATTTTTTTTGCAGTAAGCCTATGCGTGCAGGTGTGTTTTTGATATAACGACTTCTCTTCCTTTGGGTAGATACCAAATAGTGGGGTTGCTGGATTGAATGGCAGGTATCCTTTTAGTTCTTTTAAGAAATCTGCATACTGTTTTCCACATTTACTCTTAAATGTTCTTTATAGCTTTAAAATGCAATCTTCCTCTGAATACTTCAATCACTCTATATTAGTGGAATATCTGTTTTAGGTGTATTATGCTAAAAAAGAAGACATCCAGGATAAATAAAATTTAAATGAATTTTTCTATGCCTAGAAGTCAATTATTCTAACTGATTTCTGACTTTTCAAGGTTTTTTAAAAATAAGAGTATTGAAATATTTTATGAAAGTCTGTGAAGAATTCATACTTCCCAATTTTCAACAAAAATCTCTCAACAGAAGTTATGTCACATTCTGAATTGCCTTTTTCATCTGGCAGATCACTGTTTTCTTATTCAGAAGAATTTAGAACATAGAACTATCAATTTACCTAGGTTTCTTTTAAACAAAGTTACTCAGCCAGTGTATTAATATAAAGCTCAAAATGACGATAATTTAGATTAAAAGAAACAGCAACTGATTCAGTGCTTCCATACCACTCACACAAAAGCCTTGCTTAATAAAATGTTCTGCTGGTTTGATTTTGGGCAAGGCAGTGCAAATTAACTCTTTAGGAATTAACCTGAAAATAATTAGCTACCCTTGGCTATCCTATTTATTCCAATGCTGAATGCATGCCTAGTGTCTGAAGGCTGCTATTGAAGGCCCTGCAATGGTTACAGAGGCAACAGAAAAGTGGCTTCCTTCCATGAACAGCTTGCAAATGAAGACACTAGGCATTCATCTATGAATCACCCAGAAGAAACAAAAAACAAACTGAATTGATATTCATGAGGGCTAAAGAAGAAAAATAGGCTTTATATCTATTCAGTTATTGGTGAAAATCAATGTCTAAATACCAAGTGCAAATATTTAAATGTTTATGATAACTTCTGTTAAGATTCATGTGCAATATTCAGTTAGGAGGCCACATTTCAGTCAAGTTCAGCCTCTTCTGACAGTTGAAGGTTATTTTCAAATCACTGTACTTTTGAGTAAAGTATTATTTAACTACTGAATGTGACTTCATTTCTAAGGAAAAAGAAAGCCTACAGAATAAAGAGAATACATGCATCAATATGTCAACCACATCTAAACCAAAGAGATAAAGCGTAAATTTGTCCCACAAAAACTATGGTTAAAAACATACAAATTTCACTTAATCTCAAGCTTTTTCAAAACTATTTTGTGAATACAAAACAATACAGAATGCACTTAATCCTAATTTTTAAGATATTAGAGACAAAAATACTTGTGCCTCTCTCGACACCATGCATTTATGTGAGAGAAGCAGAAAACTAAAAACATCAAATGAAAATGTGATTATAAGATAAAACTGCTTTCAACAATAAAATATTAATGATCTTAGTAGCTATTTCTGTGTGCATAGACACGCTCACCAAAATTATTTCTGATTAAAAGAAAAACCTACTAGCACTGATGCACAAATAAAGGGCATTGTTAAAGGAATTGGTAATCCTGGGGGCGGGGTAAGAAACTCTTACACATTATTCTAAACAAACACTTTTGACTCCTAGGGTAGGAAACAAATAATTCTCTTGGAATTTTGTGTTCTGTGCATACAAACTTTTTTGAATATTTATGGCTCAGTTTTTTTTTTTTTTTTTTTTTTTAAGGCAGAGTACCAAATAACTTACTCGGCTGATGTTTTTCCAAAACCATCATCTCATGGTTTGCTATGTCATTCCAACACATCCTCTCAACAGTGACCAAGTAACCAGAGCAGCAAGTCCTTAATTCTAAAATAGTCTTGGATGGTTTGCCCCTCTGGAGAATAATACATTAAGGCTATGTCTCACCGATATGGGAACCAGACATTAAAGAAACCTTCCACTTGTATGTCCCAATCACAACGTTCTAATGAGATGCACCCCACTGAAAGCACTACGGTCAACAAGGAAGAAGACCAATACAGGATTTTCTACACGTGTCTGTCTCTACTACGGAACTGCAAACTCCTCTGAAGTCATCTCACGTCATATTCATTACCATAGCTCACCAAATTCCCACATGATTATTTGTATTTAGTACGTCCTCAACCAAATAAGTTACCAAAAGATTGTGCTATAAAAGTTCTTTCGAATGTAGACCCTAGTAGTCCTATCATTGGCTAATTTCCCATTCCCTACTCAATACTACAATAAAAAGCCAAAATGTTAAATTCTTAAATATATTTTTATTGTACCAAAGTGTTTTGCCAAACTTCTGGCTTGAATAACATTCAACTGGCAAACAGTATGCTGGGTAAAGAGCTGGAGTAACAAGACAACTGCAGCGGCTGTGTTGGCAAGATGACATGAAGAATCAAATCTCGCATCATAAATCAAGCAATCTATAGTCTCTATAGCAGGAAGAAAGTTGAATCCAATTCTAAAAGAGCCTCCAAGTTCTTTTTGTAGTAAAATCTCATCTTTTGTTTTAGCCCTGTAACCCTCAAACTTAATGCCAACCAGTGCTTAAAAATATGCACAATATTTTTGGCTAGGCACAGTGGCTCACACCTGTAATTCCAGGACTTTGGGAGATTGAGGTGGGAGGATCACTTGAGACCAAGAGTTCAAAATCAGCCTGGGCAACATAGAGAGACCCCATCTCTACAAAACATTTAAAAATTAGCCAGGCATAGTGGTGTGTGCCTGTAGGCCCAGCTACTTGGGAGGCTGAGGTGGGAGGATTGCTTGAGCCCAGAAGGTCAAGGCTGCAGTGAGCTATGATCATGCCACTGCACTCCAGCCTAGGATTCAGAATGAGACTCCATCTCAGTAAACACACACACACACACACACACACACACACACACCCACACACACACACACATTTTTTTCCCCAAACTAACCTATAAACAGAAGAAAGAAATTCCATTCCCCTGAGGCCACCACACTCCTGCATGTATCAACTAACTAGCAAGCTCACATAGGGACAAAGCCAGTGCTTTCAAAACATGAGCGATGGCCCACTGAGCAGAGACCACAGTAGTGATTAGAATTGTACAGCTAAGCTCCAGAGGGGAGAAATGTTAGGGCTGCACAAATTACCTACAAAGAGAAGACACTAAACCTTAGTTATGCTTCGATATTTACAGCTAATTTTACTGGTTCAAATCCACTTTAGGAGTATCTAATTTCTATGCAGTGTTGTTGGGTGTTTCCTATGAAAAATAAAAGCAGTTTAGAATCAGTTTCTGGAAGGCATCCAAGATGACTGTAATCTGTTAAAATCCATACCCAATCCTGTCAGGAAGACCATGAGTTAATCTAAGACGACTCAATACCTCCTTTCCAGAGAGAGCAGAAAAGCTGCTGCTGAGTGAGTCTGTTCTTCTTTTGGAAAGAATAAGTTATCCGTCTGACACTTTACACTGGGACTCATCTACATTTAATTATATAATGAAGAAATAATTAACTTTAAATGTGCATAAGACTTCATGGGTATCCAATCCAAAAAATCAATCAACGAGAATGCAATAACCACGGCAAAGCAAATTACACTTCATGACCTTCACCTTTGATCAAAAGGATTCCTCAAACTTGGAGGGCTCTGAAAGAGATGGCAGAGGTTACCTAACACAGTGCCTTCAACTTGCAAATGAGAAGAGCCAGGGAAGCATTTAAGTGTCAGGAGATTTACCTAAAGTCACGCAGTTGTCAAGTGGCAACTTCTAGATCTAGAATCTGCAGCAGATGGAAATTGCTTCATTGTAATGAACAAGGCCGCCCAAAGACATCTAAATCCTAATTCCCAGAACCTGTGGCTACGTTACGTGAACTGGGCAGCAGATGGAGTTAGTATTCCTAATTGGTTGGCTTGAAAACAGGAGATTATCCTGAATTATCCACGTGGGCTCAATTTTAATTATAAGGGTACTTAAATGTGGAAGAGGGAGGGAGAAGAGTCGGTGTCAAGTAATATGATATTAGAAAAACACAGGCAGCGATTGCTGGCTCTGAAGGCGGAGGAAAGAGCCGTGAGCCAAGACATGTAGAAGCCTCTAGAAGCAGGAAACAGATTCCCTGCTGGAGCCTCCAGAAGGAATTAGCCCTGCAGACACTTTGATTTGAGCTACTTGAAGCCCATTTCAGACTTTGGATCTCATATGATAATAAATTTATGTTGTTTTAAGTCACTAAGTTTGTGGTAATTTGTAACAGCAATAAGCGAAAACAAATACATCACCTAGCAGGTTTTCTTTGAACACTTTTCTTTCTTTACAGACAACACCCTAATCTGCAACAAATATCTGCGTATGTGAGTTGAGATAAACAGTGCGTAGCTGACATTGCAAGGTTTCTAGGCCTATGGTACACTTGCACCTCATCTCTCTAATGGCGTGCAAAAACAGGAGAGGATAGTATCATTTTTACAAATGATTGGGAAGAGTCAAAAAATTTTCATATATGTGTCCACATTGGTGGGAAAACTGGCAATTATTTTTTCCATAGGAGGAACATTGAAAACAAAGGCCGTGAAACAAGCTCTTTATAGAGTCTATGGCAGTAGGGGAACAGACCATCCTCTATGTTTCTTTGCCTCTGTGAGTTTCCGGCTTTAACTTGCACTCAATAGTTCTTTCCAAAATTTGCTTTAAACAATGAAATCAAAATTTTCAGCTGTGCTGCAAAACTCAACTCATTTAGAAAAGTGATTAATAGAGGCATCTTATAACTTTCCAATTCATTAATCATCACTGAGATACATTTTGACAATAAAACTGTTCCTTGACAACATAGTTTGCTTATTCCTTTTTGTCTGTATTCTCTGTTTGGGTATTCAGAGATATCTAAATGCCTAAAGAATAACAATTGGCAAGGACTCTCTCTTTGACCAAACTTGAGTCAGATTTCTCTGAATCCTTTTTTAACTAGGCCTTAAGCTCGGTCTATAAAGACTTGAACAAACACTAGCACAGTTTCTAACAGAACAAGGTCACATTCCTAGGATGGCCCTGGCTGTCCCCCAACCAGAAGTGCCTGCCAGAGAAAAGTCACACCTGCCAAAAGAGCTTATGACTTGTTCCAGCTGACACCTGAGGACAGAGCCTCTGTGTCTGGTCTCTGTGGGAGGATGGAATCCTAACTTCCATAATTGCCAGTTCGCAGACACCACCGACATTATCACATGACTAACCCTCGGAGTTTTTCACCTCCCTGACTCTACTAAATCCTGCTTAACTCTCTCCACTCCTTCCTTCTCCTTTTATAAATGCCCAGTCACTGCTGTACAAATGGAAGTTGAATTTAGTTCACGTTGTATTCTTTTCCCTATTGCAATAGTTGTTGCTGATTAAAATCTGTTCTTACCACCTTGTGTCATGCCTTGTTTATCTTTGACACAGGTTAGAAAGAGGGCGCAGATTTTCTGTAATCACACTAACAACAACACACACTCTTAGGATGTGAACTTTCAACAAGCCGAGAACCATCAGCAGGTAATACCTCCCCCTGAGATGGGGGGCTTCAACACAGCTAGATATTTCCTGGTCATTAAAACCAAGCACATTGAACGTTTTTGACAAAATTACGAAAAAGTAATTTATTTATTGCAAGCCAGCTGGGAGACCCTGCTCTGGATCTGTCTTTTCTGGCTAAATGTTGTTGCCTGGCCGATACTCTATGTTACCATTGCTATGCTTTTAAAGGTAGCAATCCTAACTTAGCCAAGCCACCCACCTCCCACCCACCCATCCACTCAACCTTTCATCCACTCACCCATCCATCTACCCACCCACTCACCATCCATCCATCCACCCATCCACCCACCCATCCACCTACCCATTCACCTATCCATCTACCACCTCCTCCTCATCCATCCATCCATCCAACCATCCATCTACCCATTGACCCATTCAACCATCCATCCATCTAAAATGTGCTGATCAGACCTGGCATTAACTAGCGAAAATTGTGTGTTTTTTGAAGGTGATCATTGCCCTTATTAGCCTATTAATTTTATTAGTAGAAAAAATACATCTCAGACCAAAATATGCAGTTATTGCTTTTACCTGTAATAAAAGCATCCCCAAACAAATAAAATATCCTAGTTCCCACCCACATACACAAATTTGCTTCTATGG